>NC_000007.14:146731107-146882622 GCF_000001405.40 Homo sapiens | reverse complement strand
ACTTACAGTTCTGCATGGCTGGGGAGGCCTCAGGAAACTCACAATCATGGCAGAAGGGGAAGCAAACACATCCTTCACATGGTGGCAGGAGAGAGAAATGCAGGGTGAAGAGGGGGGAAAGGCCTTTATAAAACCATCAGATGTCGTGAGAACTCACTCACTACGATGAGAACAGCATGGCGGAACCATGATCTAATCACCTCCCATGAAGTCCCTCCCCTAACACATGGGGATTATAATTTGGATTACAATTCAAGATGAGATTTTAGGTGGGGACACAGCCAAACCTTATCACTGGGTATATTCCCAAAAGAAAATAAATCATTCTGCCAAAAAGATACATGCATTCATATGTTCATTACAGCACTATTCACCATAGCAAAGACATGGAATCAACCCACGTGCCTATCAAAGGTGGGTTGAATGAAGGAAATATGGTTTATATACACCACTAAAATACTATATAGCCATAAGAAAGAAACCGTGTCCTTTGTAGCAACATGGATGTAGCTGGAAGCCATTATCCTAAGCTAATTAATGCGGGAACAGAAAACCAAATACTGCGTATCTTCACTTATAAGTGGGAGCTAAACATTGGGTACAAATGGACACAAAGATGGCAACAACAGACACTAGAGACCAGCAGAGGAAGGAGAGAAGGAGGAGGCAAGAGTTGAAAAACTAACTGTTGGGTACTATGGTCACTATCTAGACGACGAATATATTTGTGCTTCAAACCTCAGCACCATGCAATATACCTTTGTAGCAAAGCTGCATATGTATCCCCTGACTCTAAAATAAAAGGTAGAAAAATAATAAAAGAAGATAATGTGTTTTTATATTTTGTAAAAAAAAAAAAAAAAAAAATTATAGGGATCAGTTCACCAAGCACAAGTGACAGAGATCATAACTCTTGGGGGTAAAACTTGTATATATTTTTTGCTATTTTTTCCCTTAGTTTTTGAAATATCCATATTTTCCATTTATTGTGTCAAAAAATCATAAATTTTTCATGTTTTCAGAAAACATCCATTTTTAGCAAAACATAACCAATAGTAGCATTTGAAGTTTCATCCCAATCCAGGGTCTTGACCCCCACCTCCTCACCCAAAATAAATAAATAAATGGAACACACATGAATAATTAAAGACTGGGCTAAAAATCAGGCAGGGCCTTAAGATGATTTTGTAAGTAGGACTTCTTATGATGTCTGGGTTTCCATAAGATACTGTATTTGATGAAAATATTTGCCATATCCTAATAAATCCCACAATTTTAAAGCTCTAAGAAAAATTAGAGATCATCCAATTCTATAACCTGCTTTTACAAATAAAACATGAAAAATTTGGTTTACATATTTGAGATTATTCAGTTTATTCTTGAGAAAACCAATACAGTTTTATTGGCTTTTCCTGTAGGTTAAAATACCTAAGATCTAGAGTAACGTGTGTGGAATTAGAATTGTTCCATGTGATAGGGTTCTATTGGATGGCAGTGCAAAGAATGCAGACTTGGCTCAAAATTCTGGAAGGATTTTTAAAAGACTTTCCTGGAATCTACTCAATGCCAATAATTACTTGGCTGGTAACAAAAATAATTCCTTATAAACATCTCTCAGATATTAATTTTGCTCACATTATAGCTTCAACAGATTTAGGAATGTCATTTAAATGCTGCTGGTTTATTATGCAAACACAAAGCCACAATTCTGCAAACACATCTCTGAAGACATTTCTGAAGTTAGTAAGTCCTTGTGAATCTAATGAGGATAATATTTCATCCCCTGAGATTTTGTAGACAACAGATTAAAAGATAATAAAACAAATATTCAGCCCTCTGTAAGTTTGAGTTTCCAAAGAGATGACAAAATGTTTTTCTCCTTCTACTAATATATAAATGGGAAAACCAAGCACAGCACAGCAGAGTTTTGTACTTGCACACCTAATTGTCATCAAAGTATTAGAAAATATACTCCTTAAATGGTTTAGTTGGGATGATAAAGAGGGAAAACATAATGAAGTAATAAAAAGCTCCCATCTGTGGCCTCTGGGTTCATATTTCAACTCCACTGTTGTGTAGAATTTTCTACTCAGGTAAGATCTTTATTTACTTAATTTTAAGTTTTATTTAATTGTATTTATGTTTGGCTTAAACAAACATTTATTTCTCACAGTTCTGAAAGCTGGAATTCTAAGACATGGTGCCGACATGGTGCCAGCATGGTCAGGTTCCTAGTGAGGGCCCTTTTCCTGGCTTACAGGTGGCTACCTTCTTGGTGTTCTTCGAATGGCAGAAAGAGAGAGCATAAAGGAGCTTTTATGAATTTCTTTCTATAAGGGCTCTAATCCCATCACGAAGGCTCCAACTTCAGGACCTAATCACCATAGGCTCCTGTTTCCAAATACCATAGCAATAGGTATTAGGCTTTCAACATGTGAATTTGTGGAGGACATAAACTTTTCATTATTATCTGTGATATATTTGGCTGTGTCCCCACCCAAATCTCATCTTGAAATTTTAGCTGCCATAATTCCCATGTGTTGTGGGAGGGACCAGGTGGGAAATAATTGAATCATGGGAGTGGTATCCCACATACTGTTCTCATGGTAGTGAATAAGTCTTACGAGATCTGATGGTTTTAAAAGGGAAACCCCTTTCACTTGGCTCTTGTTCTGTCTTGTCTGCCACCATGTAAGATGTGCCTTTTGCCTTCAGCCATGATAGTGAGGCCTCCCCAGCCACGTGGAACTGTGAGCCCATTAAACTTCTTTTTCTTTATAAATTACCCAGTCTCCAGTATGTCTTTATCAGCAGTGTGAAAACAGACTAATACAATCTTTATTTTCTTTATTATTATAAAGAAAAATAACATTCACTGAGCACTGACCGTGAGCTCATGAGCTAAGATGTAGAAACAAGCTGTTCTCATTTTGGGAGAAGGCTCTCAGCTCCACAGTCCCTGCCAGGTTCTGGACCCAGGCATTTGTCAGACAAATTACTTGTGCCTTAATTCCCATATCTTGGAAGTGAGAGTACTGACTTCATGGAGTGTTATGAGACTTAAATGAACTAATTCCTGTAAAACACTCATAAGAGTGTCTGTAACATAGTAAATGCTAATTTAATATTATATATTTTATTTAAATCTTGTAGAAAATGAAGGATAATTAATAGAAAAGAGAACAATATAAAGTTGTTCAACACTGCCTCTTGACAGCTTATCAAATGTAACATTAAAATAATTTTAAAACATGTTTACTAACATGATATATAAAAGTTGGGAATATCTTATATAACTGGATGCATTTAATTCTAATTTTAAAAAATCCAGAATGGTTTTAAATGTAGAAAGAGTGGAAAGGAAGTTTATCATCTATGCCAACATCTATTGATAATAGTAACTAGAATTAATAGTCAGAAGAGTAAATCAAATCAAGTATGCAGTGATGGGAAAATGATGCCTGCCACAGGGCAATGAAATGGCAGCACAGACACTGCCTCAGTCAACCTATGAAGGCATCTGCTTTCCATTATATTTCATTCCACACATACTTATGGAGCAGTTACTACAAGCCTGGAGTGTTTCTTGGTTTGAAAATGTGATTGAAAGCAACCCAGACAGTCCTTTCCCTCACAACTGATATTTTGTTGAAGAAAGGCATTAAACAAATGAGCAAATAAAGTTCGCAAAAGGTAAGTGTCCATTATAGCAAAGTAAAACAAAATAAGGGGTTAGAGAGATACTAGGAGTTCTTGAAAGTGGTCAGAGCTGCTTTGAGTTGGACATTTCAATGGGGAGTGGAGAGGGTGGAAGAAAGCGTAAGAAGATCGGCAGGTAAGGCAAACAGTTGCAAAGGTCAGGAGGCAAGGAAAAGCTCATCTTTTTTGAGAAGCAGCGAGAAAGCTGATGTACTTAGAGTGGAGTGAGGGCAGGGGAGGTCCACAGAAATGGGGTCAGAGAAACAGGCGCTGTCAATTTATGAAGGGCCTCCTGGCAATTAAAAGAGTTAGGGCTTCATTCAGAGAGTGAAGTTAAACTAGTGAAATAATTTTTTCAAAAGAGAATGACAGCGTCTGCTTTATGATATTAAAAAGATATGGTTTTCTAACTCCTACCTTAGGTCATCTTTTCTAACATAAACATAGGGCTGGTATAATCTTATTAAAAAAAAAAACTCAAGAGTACTTGTGGGAAAGGGAAAATGTAGAGTCTTACTCAGCAATTCAGCTGTAAAAAAATATTCCTAAGTGACTAGCAAAATGAAGTTAGCATTATAGAAAAAAAAAAAAGATAATACATCATCACTTTCTTCCTTCCCCTCTCCTCCCAGGGTTTGCCACTGGCCAAATGGAAGAAGAAGATCAAGGACAAGAAGTCAATTAATGTCACTGACAGAAGTCAGCAGCCTGCCAAATACTATGGTAAAAAATGTGGAGAGTGGATCTAGAAGAATAAATAGAAGATATCTACCACTCAAATTGAAGTGGTTGCATTAACAGTATTCAAGATACAGCTATCATAATTAGGGGACGTTGGCCCATGAATAAACACCAAAATAAAGTAAATTGTGTTTCCAGGAGACATTTTAAAATGAAAGAATACAAGTTCTGAATCCTCTTTTAATGTATTCTATTGAGTATTTTATTATGTTAAAGAACTGAAAATGACTTAGGACTATCTTAAAACAATATGCTGAAGAGGAAACATTAATGAACTGTATTTTATGAAAGTCGATTACTTGATTTAGTGAAAATAATTCATAGTTTTCACTTGTCATCATGGTCGGGTAATGAACTGAGAATCTCCTATAATAGAAAAACTATCATGGAAGGTGACATCATGAAATATAAACAGTTCTCAAATAATCTTGCTTCATTCAAAGTAAATATCCAAATAGCACTGAAAGCCATAGAGCTGCTAAAAAAGTTTAAAAGTCCATATATATGTATACATATATGTATATGTACATATACACATATATACACACATACATACATACACACACATATATAGTATACACACATATGTATATATGTATACATATACACACACATATATAGTATACACATATTATTTATATACACATATACACATATTTTATATATATATATATTTTACAGACAGGCTCTTGTTCTGTTACCCTGGCTGGAGTGCAGTGGGGCAATCATAGCTCACTGCATCCTCAAATTTGTGGGCTCAACCCATCTTCCAGGTTTAGCCACTCCAGCAGATAAGACTGCAGGCACATGGCACCACACTAGGCTAATTTTAAGTTTTGTTATAGAGATGGGGGGGTCTCACTATGTTACCCAGGCTGATTTCGAACTCTTAGCCTCAAATGATCTTCTCCTCTCAGCCTCCCAAAGTGCTGAGATTACAGGCAAAAGCCATCATGCCTGGCCCCTTTCCTATGTTTTTAATGGTCGAAAAAATTATGTTTTACCTTCTTTTCATTAACTTGTATGTTCTTGTTTCTGAATGCAATGCTTTTGTTATTTCTTGCTTGATATTTATGTCCTTTCTTATACAAAGCACATAATGAGAAAGACACTGATATCTATAGTCAAAATAACCATTAAGATCATTTCTTACATGCTTAATGTCATCAATGAAAAACGCTTAAAGCAGTAGTTAAAAGTAAAAAGTTACAAATATACCAATAACCTAAATAGTGAAATATGAAAATAAAATGATTTTTGCACTAAGTCTACTTAATTATCTAATCTAGAACAACCAATATGCATGGGTATGACAGAGGAAAAAATGTGCATTTCCTCCAGTCTTTTCTGAGCCTTCCAGACTTTTTGAGTGAAAAACACATATAATGTGAATTAGGTCAACAATTTTGACCCAATAATGTGTATTGGATCATTGTTGACCTGATAATCAACAATACACATTATTGTATCGTTGATCCAATGACCCAGGGTGATCTGGAGGGCGATTTTGCAACTTGAGAATACATGTTTTAAATCAGTATGTCTAGAAGGTTCTGGCACAAATGTAAGGGTTTAATAAATGGTTGTTGAATGGATTAATAATGAAAGATGAAGGATCAGAATAGCATTTTGAGGCAAACGAAAGTTACAATATTCCTGGCAGTATTCTGAAGTTTTATTCAACTCAAATATTTTTCTAGGAAGGACATTTATTTTATTATAGAGTTTTATCTCCTTTGCTGAAATCATAATCACAATGATATGAACAATATGCTTTCTTTACGGAGGAGCTATTTTAAGAGAAAAATTCCAAAATAAATAACACAAAATGGTATATGAAATCCGACCTGATTCACAGAAGGAAAAAGAACATGCCCTGGGGGACTTGGCAGCAAATACAAGCCAGCAGCAAGAATATGACCTTCAGTGTCTGCTCTCATCTTCAACCTGGGAAGATTCAGGTGATGCAAGAATAGATTTGGTGACGATCCCATGAACTCCCTAAGAGTCAACATGCATCTAGATCTCTCAGTCCTGACTGATTTAATTATTTTATTTGGATCTGTCAAAGCAAAAAACCAAAACAATCTGCCAAACAAAGTTAAACAGGCCAGGAGTTTAATGTAAGAGAGGAGGGAAGCCAAAAGTCAAAGTGAGCTGTACTGCAACTCCTGCCCCCAAAAAGATGTTTTTGTTCTTCTTCTCGTTTTTTTGTTTTTTGTTTTTTTTTTTTTTTTTTTTTTTTTTTGCTGTGTATGTGTGTGTGTGTGTGTGTGCGTGTGTGTATGTGTGTGTGTGTGTTTAAGATAAGGTCTCCCTATGTTGTCTAGGCTGGTCTTGAACTACTGGCCTCAAGTGACCCTTCTGCTGTAACCTCCCAAAGTGCTGGGATCATAGGCATGAGCCACCACACCTGGCCAAGCTGAAAAATTTTTATAAAGCTAGAATTAGGTCATAAAGGACCTGGGTTTTAGGCCACCAGTATTTCCTAACTGGCTTTGCCCCCCCGCCAAAAGCAAACTGCCTCTTAGGAGGTAGTTTTACACCTTGGAGCAAAGCATCCTTCAAATGTAGGCTCCTGCTATCCCACAGAAGCTGGAAGACAGGGGCTCTGTCTTCATTGATGTTTACATTTCGAAGAGCTGGCTTCCAGGTCTTTTGAGAAAGACAGTTTCGTGTTTTAAAACTGGCAAAGCACTTTCAAAAAAGATTTACATCTCAAAGAGTCAGAGAAAGGATTTACAATTACTAGTTTTCTAAAGGGAATGCTCTAAGAAAAGGGAGGTCAGGGCCTAGATTTAAGCAGCAGCTTGTGTAAAGTTTAATCAAGCTGTGGGGAACATTGAGGCCATTTTAGTCAGATCCTAAGATATAATCTTGTTTATTCCAGAGGCCCTCCATATAGGAGAATTATTTATCTGAATCCCTTCAGTTATAAGTTTGTGTAGAGAACCAAATTCAGCTTCTCATGAAAATATGTATAACAAAATGCCACTTACAATCTCAGATGCCATTAAATCATCCTTTTCTGCCTTTTTACACTAGAGCCTGTCTTTGCCTTTCAGCCTATGTCTGTCTTTCATGTCAATATATTCTTAGTTATTCGCTACTTATAATGCAAATAAATGTAAATTGAATAATGAAATTGCAAATTTTACAAAAGAAGGAGGTCTTTCCAAAGTTAATGACGTTGATGTAGAACAGTTCAAAACATGTGCAAAGCAGTTAGACCTATTCTGATCAAGAGAAATTGGCAAGAATGATTGCACAATAGGCTTTTAAAAATAAAATGGTTTGAATATAAAATAAACAAAAGCGCTAATTGGGAAACTGATAAGACTCTGAAATAATTCTTTGCAGAAATGACTTTCAGGTGATAATGCCACAGAAGCAGAATGAGAAGTCGTGTTATCATACAATTTTATTGAAAGAATCATGTCAAAACTTGACAAACAATTTAAGTGAAGAACTGAAGTATAGCTGCAATTACAATTTTGTTACACAGTCACACAATTACAATTTTCTGTTATAAAAAGAAACATGAGGCCAGGTGTGGTGGCTCACGCCTGTAATCCCAGCACTTTGGGAGGCCACGGTGGGCGGATCACCTGAGGTCAGGAGTTCAAGAAAAGCCTGACCAACATGGTGAAACCCCATCTCTACAAAAATGCAAAAATTAGCCAGGCATGATGGCAGGTGCCTGTAATCCCAGCTACTCGGGAAGCCGAGGCAGGAGAATCACTTGAACCCTGGAGACAGCGGTTACAGTGAGCCAAGATTGCACCATTGCACTTCCAGCCTTGGTGACAGAGCAAGACTCCATCTCAAAAAAATAAAATAAAATAAAAATAAAAAATAAACATGAATTAATTTCTTTTGTTTATCTAGACAAAGTTCTAATAGATCCTCATTTTAACTACTAATTATACCATATTGTTTTCTATCCTAGGTGAATTCACTTTAATAAACTTTTCCTAAACATCAGCTATATTCAGGATCTTTTATATACAAGTTCCTATTTCCTGGCATCAGATTTTAACGTCAGACTTGATATTTCCTTCTTCCTGAGTTCACTTCTCCCGAGAATTTAAGAGTAACCCTCTTTTTGATGCATCAAATTGATCCTTCACCAATAAACCCACCTCTTTCTGATTTATTTCTCCTGAAATGTGTGACATTTTAGCATTTCCGACTTAATTTGGTGCCCCCTACAAATCATGAACTCTTGTAGGTATAATATAAGCTATATTTTCTTGGAAGAAAATATATAATATCTTTGTAAATAATATTTTTAAATCAATATCAAAAGAAGATCCTCCACCTCCACATAATAGTCACTCAAAATTTGACGAAAAACATGATGTACTAACAGAATATGACCCAGGCTCTCTGAATGTAGTAAACACTTCCCCCTCAAATTGTAATCATTATATCCTTGGGCCTCTCCCTTTATCCTCATGTAATTGTGATACAGAAATAGGAAACATCTTGTAGTTCCCCGAAACAAGCCATATGTCCTATTCTCCATGCTTATTATTCTTCTCATACACCCCATTCCTCATTCCCTTGACCCACTTGCATTCATAATTCAAATACTCTAGGAGCCCACTTCTTACCCACAGAGGGTCACTGTGCAGCCTCTGAATCGCATGCACTTCCAGTTCTACACTTTCACCCTCTAAGCCTAAAAAAGTCCCTGGCACACAGCAAGTAATTAATGTCATTATATCAGAAATCCATAACAACAACAATGAAGTAGCTTACGTCCTTTGAAAAAATAAGAGCCAGACCAATTTTGTGAAAATAAATGATTTGAGAAGAAATACAAACTGTCAGTACAAATAACACAGCTATTATTTTTCTAGCAGCAACTCATGTTAGCTCCTCCTCTATGTGCTTCAAAATCTGTCTTGCATAAAATTCTTTTTGTAGACGTGTGGGTGGAGATGGGATGGGGTAGAAAGGGTTACTTCCAGTAATGTTAGTTTAAACCAGACATCTTGTATAGCATTAATAGACAGGCATATAAGAATGCAGTGGTCTAAATCCACCCAATGCATTGAAAAGACATCAACAATTCTCCAATGGTAGAAGTTTAAATCAACTGTTTCTTAAATGTTAGTATCTTTGAACTACCCATGGATTAGGGAAGAGGGATCTGGCACAATTTCTCATGCAGTAAAATATTGGAAACAAGCAATAAGTATTTATAAGTAAAAATGCAGGTGCTATGTTGGGATAGTTATGAATAGAGAATGCTCCCATTTGGAATAACGATAAACATTGGCTAAAATGAATTTTCTCAACTATACTGACCCTCAGATAAACAGATAACACTGAACCATTTGCATGACAATTTGCTTAAATTATAAAATACAATATTCTGAAGACAATCATTTAAGTGTAGAAAGAACTTCCTTGAACAATTTGTGCATACAGTATTTCTAAGATAGATGTTAAGCCTTCTAGCTATTATCTCCTAATGTGTATACAATGTGTTTGACAGTTATTTTGATATGTTTGGGATGCATTGATGCCTTCAAGCTAAGCATGCACTATCCAATTTGGAGGCCTTAAATAAGCTCTCAGTATTTTTGAGAACTAATTAAAACTTCATTATTAGTACAACAGCCGTACCACATTATTGGCTTGATAAGAAACTCAATAACTGACAATGTCTTTGTAGGTCTTTCAGCTGACACTTACAATTAAGTTGCATGGAACCCAACCACCCTCTAGAAATTCTCCTTACAAGACAACAAAATAGTAAGCATAAAGTGCAGCATTGGTTTACGTTAAAGTACAGGCAAAGCCTGGGTTTTGTCACAGATTTTGTTTCCAACTTTCTTTTTCAACCAGAAAAAAATAATTCTATTTGAAATACATAGTTTTATTAAGTTTGTTTTTTGGGGGGTGGTCTATATATACTTTTTTCTTGTGATATCTGTTTTCATACAGGTGGATGACGTACCTTCCCATGAAGAATTCAATTTACCAAAAAAAAAAAAAAAAAAAAAAAATTCAATAATTTAACTGGCCCAAAAGGGAAAGAGATAAGTACCAATGTAATTAACTCTTTTTCTTTCTATTGATAAAACCATAATAGTTACCTTTTAATATAAGCTAGCATTCTCCCATCAGCCAACATTGCTTGCAGGCAATTTTCATGCAGACATCCTGTTGTGTATTATGAGAATGTCAATGAACTTTAATATTATGTAGAAGAAAACATAATTAGGAAGGAAATCTTTGGAGAATAGCAATATGTGATGTATCAAGTTGTAAAACAAAAGAGTTATAGTTCTGTGTTTTTTGAATTTGTTATGCTCATAAAACATGTTAGGAGACAAATATTCTGAGATTTGCATAGTTTCTCAATGTAAAGACATTACTGTTAATGATTAAGGATAGTTTTTTTGAAATAATAAATCATATGATTTATAACCAAAAATACATCCATGTCACTATCTCATTGAAAATATATTTTATTGCAAATATTATAAGAAGATGGATGTCAAAGTTTACAATAATTGTTAAATATAGTAATTTTTGTTATTTGTAATTTACTCTTTCTAGCCTATCATTGATGACTGAGCTCATGTAGCTATATCATTTTTTAATTTATTTATTTAATTTATTTATTTATTTTTTTTTAGACGGAGCCTTGCTCAGTCACCCAGGCTGGAGTACAGTGGCACAATCTAGGCTCACTGCAACCGCCATCTCCCGGGTTTGAGCAATTCTCCTATCTCAGCCTCCTGAGTCGCTGGGATTACAGGCACCTGCCATTAGGATCGCCTTATTTTTGTATTTTAGTAGAGATGGGGTTTCATCATTTTAGCCAGGCTGGTCTTGAACTCCTGACCTCAGGTGACCTGCCCGCCTCGGCCTCCCAAAGTGCTAGGATTACAGGCGTGAGCCACCACACCCTGCTCTTATTTCTTAAGAGACAGGAAAAAACAAAATTGGTAAGAATTAAATGCCCCTAGATGTGCCTGTTTAATATTTCTGATATTTTCAAGCATAAGTTGCCTAATTCGTCACATATACATAAAATCACTCCTGAAATGCTTTGCTGGTAGATGTGTCCCATTGGGAAATGTTATAATCCATTTCAATACATTTCACACACAGATCTCTAAAATAAATGAGTCCATCTATTTGTAAGTTTTTAGCAAAGTAATGTATAAACAGACAATGTGTAAAAATTATGTTTAGTCTTTTTTCCTTCCACTGAATAAACAATATAGCTATTTTTGGCATTCATTTTTCCTAAACATTTGAGCACCTACTATAAGCTTAAAAGCTCATGTTTCATTTAAATTGTTTAGAAAGTTATAATTCTCAGGAGCATTAATATAGTAAAAGAAGAATATTTAATTGCTTATTTTTAATAAAAATTTTTATTATGCTTGTTATTAATCATGACTCTATTGACACAACCTCAAAAATACTGGTTCTTTTTCAAACTCTTAGAGAAAACAACTTTAAAGTTATGATTGTAGAACATTTAACATAGTATCTTTAAGTTAGTTTGAATGAGAAATGAGCAGCCTCTGATTTCCACACAGCAATTTACAAAACATATATTTGATTATAAGTAAACTCATATTTGTTTAAAACTTTGAATATATAGAAGTATTCACATTGAAAGTTAGTATCTTGTCTAAATTCATTTTCATAATGTTTGCTACTAGCTAGACTAATGGAAAGAGAGAACAACCAAATAAATATGATGAGAAATGACAAAGGGAATGTTACTACTGATCTCACAGAAATAAAAACAACCATCAGAAACTACTGGGATCACTTCCGTGAACACAAACTAGAAAACCTAGAAGAGATGGATACATTGCTGAACACATACAGCCTCCCAAGACTGAGCCAGGAATAATGATTCCCCAAACAGACCAATAATGAGCTCCAAAATTGAATCAGTAATAAATAGCCTGCCAACCAAAAAAAAAAAGCCCAGGACCTGGTAGATTCACAGCCGAATTCCACCAGGTGTACAAAGAAGAGCCGGTACCATTCCACAGAAACTATTCCAAAATATTGAGGAGGGAGAACTCCTCCCCAACTCATTCTATGAGGCCAGCATCTTGATACCAAAACCTGGCAGAAACACACACAAAAAAGAAAACTTCAGGCCAATATCATTGATGAACTATGATGCAAAAATCCTCAGCAAAAATACTTGCAAATTTGTGATAAACTTAACATGAAGTGTCAACTTGATCATTGAAGGATGCGAAGTATTGTTTCTGGGTGTTTCTGAGTGTTACCAGAAGAGATTAATATTCGAGTCAGTGGACTGGGAGAGGAAGACGTACCCACATTGTGGGTGGGAACCATCCAATTGGCTGACAGTGCAACTAGAAAAAGCAGGCAGAAGACGGTGGAAGAAGCTGACTTGCTGAGTCTTCTGGCCTTCATCTTTCTCCCATGACGGATGCTTCCTACCCTTGAACATCAGACCCCAAGTTCTTTGGTTTTGGGACTCTTGGACTTATACCAGTGGTTTGCAAGGGGCTCTTGGACCTTTGGCCACAGACTGAAGACTGCACTGTTGGCTTCCCTACTTCTGAGTTTTTGGGACTTGGACTGAGCCACTACTGGCTTCCTTGCTCCTCTACTTGCAGATGGCCTATCATGGGACTTCACCTTGTGATCATGTGAGTCAATTATCCTTAATAAACTCCCTTTCAAATATACATACATCCTATTCAGTTCTGTCCCTCTAGAGAATCCTGACTAATACAAAACTGAGACCAGCAGCACATCAAAAAGCGAATCTACCATGATCAAGTAGGTTTCATGCCCGGGATGCAAGGTTATTTCAACATAGATAAGTCAATACATGTGATTCATCACATAAACAAAATTAAAGACAAAAAACAAAACACATGATTATCTAAATTATTGCATAAAAGGCTTTCAATAAAATTTAACACCACTTCATGTTAAAAACTCTCAATAAACTAGGTATTGAAGGAACATACCTCAAAATAATAAGAGCTATCTATGACAAAACCACAGCCAACATTATACTGAATGGGCAAAAGCTGGAAGCATTCCCCTTGAAAACTGACACAAGACAAGGATGCCCTCTCTCAATATTTGTATTCCACATAGGATTGGAAGTCCTAGCCAGAGCAATCAGGCAAGAGAAAGAAATAAAGCACATCCAAATAGGAAGACAAGAAGTCAAACTATCTCTGTTTGCAGGTGACATGATTCTATATCTAGAAAAGCACATAGTCTCAGACCAAAAGCACTTCCAGCAGATAAACAACTTCAGCAAAGTTGTAAGATACATAATCAATGCACAAAAATTATTAGCATTTCTGGGTACCAACAACAGCTAAGCAGACAGGCAAATCAGAAGGGCAATCCCACTCACAATTGCCACAAAAAGAAGAAAATACTGAGGAATACAGCTAACCAGGATGGTGAAAGATCTCTACAATGAGAATTACAAAACACTGCTCAAGGAAATCAGAGAAGACACAAACAAATTAAAAAACCTCCCATGCTCATGGATAGGAAGAATCAATATCATTAATATGGCTATACAGCCCAAAGCAATTTACAAATTCAATGCTATGCTGTCAAATTACCAAGATTATTATTCA
Organism: Homo sapiens; assembly: GCF_000001405.40. NCBI lineage: Eukaryota > Metazoa > Chordata > Mammalia > Primates > Hominidae > Homo > Homo sapiens. Next base: position 146,868,547 of record NC_000007.14, on the reverse strand, counting down.
CAGAACCAGAAAAAAGTATTTTAAAATTCATACGGAACCAAAATGAGCCCGCATAGCCAAGGCAATCCTAAACAAAAAGAATAAGGCTGGAGGCCTCACGTTGCCCAACTTTAAACTATACTACAAGGCTAAAGGAATGAAAACAGCATGGTAATGGTACACAAACAGGCACATAGACCAATGGAACAGAATAGAGATATCAGAAGTAAGCCCACACATCTACGACCATCTGATCTTTCACAAAGATGACAAAACAAGCAATGAGGAAGGCTCCCTCTTCAATAAATGGTGCTGGGATAACTGGCTAGCCATATGGAAAAGATTGAAGCTGGACCCCTTCCTTACACCATACACAAAAATCAACTCAAGATGGATTAAAGACTTAAATGTAAAATCCAAAACTATAAACACCTAAACAACAACCTAGGCAATGCCATCTTGGATATAGGAATGGGCATATATTTCACAACAAAGACACTAAAAGCAATTGCAAGAAAAGAAAAAATTGACAAGTGGGATCTAATTAAACTTAAGAGCGTTTCTGCAGCAAAAGAAACTATCAACAGAGTAAACAGACAACCTACAGAATGGGAGAAAATATTTGCAAACTATGCATCTGATGAAGGTCTAATACCCAGTATCTATAAGAAACTTAAAATTTATGAGAGAAAAACAAACGACTCCATTAAAAAGTGGGCAAAGGACATGAACAGACACTCCTCAAATGAAGACATTCATGCAGCCAACGAGCATATGAAAAAAAAAAGTCACTATCACTGATCATTAGAGAACTGCAAATCAAAACCACAATGAGATACCACCTCACGCCAGTCAGAATGGCTACAATGAAAAAGTAAATAAAATAACAGATGCTGATGAGGTTGTGAAGAAAAGGAAACACTTATACACTGTTGGTGGGTGTAAACTAGTTCAACCATTGTGGAAAGCAGCATGATGATTCCTCAAAGAGCTAAAAAACAGAACTGCCATTCGACCCAGCAATCCCATTACCAGGTATATACCCAGAGGTATATAAATCATTCTACCATAAAGACACATGCACGTGATGTTCATTGTAGCACTATTCATGATAGCAAAGATATGAAATCAACCTAAATTCCCATCAATGACAAATTGGATAAAGAAAATGTGCTAAATATACACCATGAAATATAATGCAGCCATTGAAAAAGAACAAGATCATGTCTTTTGCAGGAACATGGACTAGGTGGAGGTCATCATCCTTAGCAAACTAACACAAGAACAGAAAACCAAATACCACATGTTCCTACTTAGAAATGGGAGCCTAATGATAAGAACTTATGAACACAAGGAAGGAAACAACAGACACTGGGTTCTTCTCGAGGACAGAAGTTTGGAAGAGGGAGAAGAATAGAAAAGATAACTATTGGGCACTGGGTTTAATACCTGGGTGATGAAATCAAATATTTACAGCAAACCCCTGTGACACGTGTTTACCTATGTAACAAGCCTCCACATGTACCCACCAAACCTAAAGTAAAAGATTAAAAAAGAGATTTCCATATATCCTTCTAGGTTGTTATATGCATCTACATATAAAAATAATCTATGTTTATAAAATGATATGTAATATATATGATATTACAATGTTTTAGAAGAAAGACCCTATCGAAGTTATGTTTCTACCGTGGTATATTATACATCTATCTTGTTTACTTTTATCAGGTACATTGTTTTCCATCATGTGAGTATACTGTAATTGATTGCAGAAATATTGTACTGATAGACAAATGTTTCCAACTCTGCTCTATTACAAATAATGTTCCCTGAATATTCAAGACATATTTAAGAAAGTACATGGATTTCTTCCAATTAAATTGTCAAAAGTTAAATTTGACATAGTGAAACATGGTGAAAAAAAGGATTTCAGCTCCCACTTGCCGTGCCAGCCAAATGTGTTATGCAGGTACAATCATATGTGAAGTCATGGACATACCTTTCCATCACAAATTAGAAATAAAGCACAACTTTTTATTTTTAACCATGAGAAAACAGTGGGAATGTTAATATTATTGCTAATTGTTTTCTTATTTGGCACATCATATTTAGTGTCAGTGGTTAAATAAATTATTAATATGCAGGAGCTAAAGACTGTTTACCCTTTCTCAAATATCAAATCTTCTAAACTTTACCATGTACTGAAATGTAAAAAATAATGTAAATAAAAATTATTTTGGAAAACAATGAGATAAATATTTTATTATAAAGGCTTATATGGAATTACCTAATATTAAAGGTTTGGAATTTTCATTTCCTATTGATAATATTTCTTTTATCTTGGACTTTCCGTGCATGTGTATATGTACTTTAGATACATCAACCTGAAGCCTGGATCCCAATGTTTCAAAAAGTAAAACAGGCAGATGAGAAACTGTCGGGGGGAACATTGGAATGATACAGCAAATAGCACTGAATTCAGTAGGTAAAACATTTTGTTATTATGTTTGGATGGCACCTCTGAATAATAACAGAAATGGGTGGATCTTCTGAGAATAATATATGTGATAAGAAATAGAAGAAGAATGTATTCATTTAGATCTTCTGAGAAGCAGACGCAAAGACAATAGTATGACTAGTACAAGGATTCCTTTTCAAGGAAAACGGGTCATTGTGTTTCTGTATACAAGGCTTTTACTGTATTTGTGTATTGTGAATGAATTTTCCCAGCATGTGGTTTGATTTTCATTTTCTTAGTGTGTCATTTGAAGAATAGAAGATTTTGATTTCTCTGTGTTATGCTTTTATCATTTTTATGGCTAATACTTTTTTGTCCTAATAAATGGCTGATTATCCCAAGGCTGAATATTTTCTCCTTTATATTCTTCTAGAGGTTTAAAACTAGTGGTGCCTACATTTAGGTACATGATCCATTTTTGTGTAGAATGTGAAGCAGCAGTGTTCATTTTCTCCATATGGATATCATTTTCTAACACCATTTGTTGAAAAGACTATTCTCTTCTGCATTTAATCATATTGGTGGCTTTATTAAAATTTAATTCTCCATATATATGTGAGTCTATTTGTGGACTCAATTTTGGACTCTTCATCTATATATTTATATTTACAGCTATACAAGACTATCTTTATTATAAGTTTATAGTAATTTTTGAAATTCTTGTATTTCCTCCAATTTTTTTCAAACCCAGTTTGGATTATTTTAGGCCTTTTGCAGTACAAGTAAACTTTGAATCACCTTGTAAATTTAAAAACCTACTCAATTTGAAGATAGTGAACAAGTTAACATATTTTACAATTAATAAGCCTTATGTATCTCTCCATTGTGTTAGCTATTATTTAGTTTCTTACAGAGTATTTTTAATTACAGTAAAGAATGTCAGTATAATTTTTATTATAATTAACTGTTAGTATTTCAAGTCTTTGGTCCTATTTTAAATGGTATTCCTTTTACAAATTACATTTTCCGAATATTTGATGCTAGCATATAGAATTTTTTGTATTAATCTTATAACCTGTTGCCTTGTTAAATTTATACTTTTTTTTTTTTTTTTTTTTTTAGATAGACTCTGTCACTCAGACTGGAGTGTGGTGGTAAGATCATACCTCACTGCAACCTTGAACTCCTGGGAGCAAATGAGCTTCCTACCTCAGCCTCTTGAGCTGGGACCACTTGAGCTGGGACCACAGGAGCCTGCCACCCTGCAGGTTCTGTTTTGTTTTGTTTTGCTTTGTTTGGTAGAGGAAAGGTCTTATTATGTTGCCAAGGCTGGTCTCAAGTGATCTTCCCACTTCAGCCTCCCAAAGCACTGAGATTACAGGCTTGAGCCACCGCGCCCAGCCTGACTACTTTCAGTAGTTTTGTTTTTAAGATTGATTAGGATTTCCTAAATAAATTATTATGTCATCTATGAACACAGACAGGCCTACTTCTTCTATTCCAATCTTTATGCTTCTGTTTATTCTTTTCTTACTGCATTGGCTAGAATCTCCAATGTAATATTAAATAAAATGTAAAAACATATCTTTTTCTCATTCAAAAATCAATAATATTCTATTGTTTAACATTAAGTGCTGCATCCATCAGCTGTGAGTTTTTATAGTTGACCATTATGAATTTGAGGTAGTTGCCTTCCAGTCCATTTTTGTTAAGAACACTTTGTCATTTTATGAATGTCAGATTTAGTCAAATGATTTTTTTATATCTGTTGCCATAATCATGATGATTTGCATTACTGATTTTTTAAAATATTGAACCAAACTTACTTTCCTGGGATAAATACCACTTATTCATAAGGTATTGTCTTTATATAAAAATTATTGGATTTACTTTTCTAATTAATTTTTGTGTCTATATTCATTATAAATATAGATCTCTAATTTTATTCTTTTGTAATTTTTATGTCTTGGTAAATATGCTAATGCTCTACATTATTAAAGAGAAGAATAAAACACTGAATGATATTATACATATAGAAAGGTACATATTTTAAAATGTCAAATAATGGCCACCAAAAAAGGTTACTTAGAGCATTTTAATTCTAAAAATAAAACTGAAGAAGAAAACAACTATACCTTTAACAACAACCTCTATCAATAGCAAAGAGGGCAGAAAAGGAGGAAGAAAAAATATTGAAAAGCACTTGATAAATACAGCTAAGCATTTAGACATTTTGCTTAAGGTGGATTTACTCCTTATATTTGTGTTTTCATTATATAATAGCAACTAACACTTTTTGTCCATAATTCCATTTCAAGGACATGCTAGCAAGTATTTTATCTTCAATCTTTAGAAATCTTAAATAGCCTAGCTTCTATTTGGGAACTAGTATGAGCTCAGAAAAGCTTCTTTGATTCTTTCAAGGTTAAATACTTGGTTGGTAAATGTCTAGTAATGGAAGGGGAAGCAAATAGCATAGTACTAATTAGGATTACAAGTATTATATATTTTCATTCAAGTCTTCTAATTCTTCTCTTAATTACCCAATCAGTGACTTTTATTGAATCACATTCTGTATTTAATTAGTTATTTTGAATCAAGGCTATTCTCATTTTACAAGTTAACTGTGGAAATACCATGTGGACATTTGACTAATGTTATAATTAAAGCATAGAGTCATATGAAAGACATACCTCTTATCTTGGATAATTATCAGCTATTGATAACTCTTCATCTCAATTGAATAAAGTTCTTGGTAGCATGATTATGTTGAAGCAGATAAGGCTTATAAACAAACAATTAGTTAATACTATAATAAAGCTCCTTTTTAAAACTATTTTCTTATGCTATTTACTTCTTTGAGAAAACATTAAACTTTTCAGTACAGTCATAAATGCCTACTATTGGGAGATACATTTAAAGACTTAAATATGAAAAATTTTTTGTCACTTCTTTAAATACAGGTTCACTCTTCATTCTATACTTTGACATAATTACTGATCTAAAGGAGTTTTTAAGTTATCAAATCATTATTTTTCAAAACCCACATTAGACAGGTCCCAAATTAATAAGATCACTCATTATTTCTGTATCTGAGGTCACTGTAAGAACATATAAATCCAATACAATTGCCATTAAGTGGAAATCTATATGCATGAAGGTTGACTCAAGCACAAAAGTGACTATAACACTGGTTTATTACTGAATCTGTTCAAAACACTTTTAATAACTGGGGGAACCAGAATGACCACATTACACCCTGGAGTGGCTGCTATAACACTGTACCATAAAGAACCATACAGACAGGGCGATGTTTATGTGTCTGGCTGCACACAAGTGCAAAAATATGAGTGCATATGTATGTTTCACAGAATTTTGAATTCCTAGCCAAGTTTAGTTTAAGAAAACTCAGATAAAAAATGAAAACAGCATCTGATTAAAAGCATCTGCTCTAACCTTTGAGAGTTGTCTGTGATATCTTTGATAGACAGCCAAGTAACATTATGCCTTTCCCCCAGGGTACACATTCAAATAGTATGCATAAAGATTAGTTCTCATTCAGAAGGAGGCTGAATATTTTGCATTGAGTGTCATTAGCGTTTTTTTTGTTTGTTTTTTGTTTTTTTGTGCCCAGATGTCATAGGATGGACATTTGAGTCTCTTTCTTTTTCTTTTTTTAACAAGGAAGTGTAAGAAGTGATTTATCACTATTTATTCAGGAAATAGCATGTTATGATCCAAAAGTTGCCAAAACTACACTTTTTTCGTTTTTGTTGTCATTAAGAAAGGTCCAAATGCTACAGCTCTTTTTATGTTACAAAATTGAACGTATTTGGAATGCAACATGAGATTTAAGTAAAGAATTAATTCAATATATCAAACGCTAAGTACTTTAACCCTCAAAATACAGAATTAATTAAGATAGAATAAATGATTCTAATCAGAATGAATAACGAACTGGCAGGTGGAAAAAGTCCTGCATTCTAAAGTCTTAACATTGCCATCGACCGCGCCTGCATCTATCATTTTCCCTTCATTTTCCCCAATCCACTAACTGGTAAAATGGGCATGTTAGCCTTTATACAAGAGGATGAACCACAGGATTAATAATTAAAAGGTTGGCAAGTGCTTTTTAATTACAGTGGTTATACAATTGCCAATGAATAATAATCCCTCCATTCCAAATCCAATGCCCAGAGGTTAATTGAGTTGCCAAGGTCTCAAGCATTATCAGTATACATCTCTGTTCAGATTGCTAAATACGATATCTTTTAAATATTTATAAGGCGCCATGGCTCCAAAATCCAGCAAATTACATATAATTATTTTTTCTTTAGCCATTCATGTAGTCAGATGAAGCGATGTAACACAACCCTGACAAGGCTGATGAAGAAAATCAGGCCTGTAGGATACTGAGAAGCAGTTTATGTTTGTAGACCTATCTCACTGAATGCTGATTTTTTATAATGATAGTTTTTAAATTAGGAGGGGAATTTTATGGTTACCCCCTGCTAAGAGATGGATTCACAATCTCCAAGTGTCAGCAATGTACACTTGGATTGTGAATTGGATTCACAATCTCTAAGTGTCAGATTAATAGAAATTATGATGCATTAGTATAATACTTTATTCTTCACTAAAAGTTTTCTATCGATTTTATTAAATAAGACAACTGTACAAAATTGTTGAGCACCTAAACATCAGTTCATTGTAATTGTAAATTTTTAAAAATTTTAAAATGTGTTCAAGAAAATGAAAGGGTAAGGAAAAACACTCATGCCTATAGTCCCAGCACTTTGGGAGGCCGAGGCAGGTGGATCTCCTGAGGTCAGGAATTCAAGACCAGCCTGGACAACATGGTGAAACTCTGTCTCTACTAAAAATACAAAAATTAGCTGGGCATGAGCCTGTAATCTCAGCCACTCAGGAGGCTGAGGCAGGAGAATCGCTTGAACCCGGGAGGCGGAGGTTGCAGTGAAACGAGATCACACCACTGCACTCCAGCCTGGGAAATAGGATGAGGCTTGGTCTCAAAAAACAAAAAACCAAACAAACAAAGAAAAAAGAAAATAAATTAAAACGGAAATCCATATAATGTGAAAAGAAGCAAACAACAAGAAAAAAATTCTAGCCTATAATTTTACCATTTGTGTTCTATCAGTGATAAATATGAGAGCTGGCATCCAGTAGGAAGAAGGGGTACAAAAGCAGACAAACAAATAGACATCATGGTTATTAATTATCTTAATCCAAAGGAGGTTATTATTATTCTAGGGCTCATTCTATCCTTAAGACCCTGGTATACATATTTTAACAGCTTGGACCCATAAAACCAGAATGTCAATAATGCGTTTTTTTTTTCTGTTCCAAGAAATTTTTTTTCAATCATTTGATAAATACTTTAAATGAATGTAGATGCTTTCTTTAGGTTAAGACAATACATTTTAAACTAACATTAATTTTTAAAATAATTTTTCCACAATAGACTATCCTCTTTTCAGTCTTCATAGGGATGAGTAGATCAATATGATCCATTTTTCTTTCAGATAAATATGTCCCTATCTAGTTTGTGTACTTATTGAACTGCAGGGGCTGTTCTAGAACTTTCATAAAACCAAATGGTATTTGGCACACTGCCTGCCACATAGCAGGATCTCTGTCAATGGAAATGCCTTTGTCCTCTCAGCTCCAGGCCACACACCCTGCCACCCTCAGAGACTTTGCATTCACTGTTCCTCTTACCTACAGACATGTTCCACTTTTGCCTGGCCTATAAAAGATAAAAAAGAAAGCAACCTCCCTGGTGTGCAAGCTTCTTGTCTACCACTGCCTTAGTTCTCTCCCTCTGTCTCACCACCCTCAACCACTTTTTAAAAACATACTGCATAATCACACCTTTATATTCTATCTAGCTCTAATCTCCATGAGGGTCATGATGGTGGAGTCTATATATATCCATTACTCATTGTAACATCTGAACAATAAAAATAAACTTGATAAATATTTGTTAAATAAAAGTCTTACCACATTTTTGTATTTATGTCATTCTGTTTTTACCACTCTATTTAAAATCTTGTTTCACATTTTGAGCTGAACCCACCTCTAAAGGTAATCTCAAGTCTCTTGTTCTTAAAGCAATTGATCCTCTTCCTCCCCCACTCTAGGTTTCCTCTTACTGCTGACCACATTGGTTTTCTTTAAATTTTTCTCTTTCATATTTTCCTAGCCCGGCAGCTGAATTTAGACATTTCCTTTTACTCTATCTTTGGTTCTCTTTCCTTCTATTTACTCACTGAGATACCACGTGCAATATTTTTCTCTTCTTCAATCACTTATGATTTGTGGTTCCTGTATTTTTGTTTTCAATTGAGTTGGGTTGGAGGTGGAATTAAGCTTAGAGTCAGGGTAGGTCTCAGACTCAGAGTTAGGATTATATATATTTTTTTTTTTTGAGACGGAATTTCACTCCTCTTTCCCAGGCTGGAGTGCAACGGTGTGCGATCTTGGCCCACTGCAACTTCTGCCTCCTGCGTTCAAGCGATTCTCCAGGCTCAGCCTCCCAAGTAGCTGGGATTACAGGCATGCACCACCACAGCCTGGCTAATTTTGTATTTTTAGGAGAGACAGGGTTTCTCCAGGTTGATCAGGCTGGTCTTGAACTCCCGGCCTCAGGTGATCCAACCGCCTTGGCCTCCCAAAGTGCTGGGACTACAGGTGTGAGCCACTGCACCCAACAAGGATTATAATTTGACTTTAATAGCTGGAATTTTAAAAAATATGCAGCTCCTTCAATAACTATAGGGGCTAATGCATAATACTGTTACTGGTGTTCTGTCAACAGACACATTTAAGTGCCATTAATCAGTTTAGTGATGCTCTTTAAAATAAAAGTTGACTCTGCTCTTCTTTTAAGATTTGACTTGTTCTCTGTTGAGGAAATTGAAACACATTTTCTAATCTCTGCTGAAGTAACCCTGAAATTCTAATGTTATTGCCTATATTGCCTCAAAATTTTACCTTTATTCTCAATCTCAATTGCTTTATTAAGATTTCATTTATAGGACCTGAGTCAACATATAGTGTCAGCACTTGGGCCTTTCTTATGAAAGTTTGGGAATTTCCTGATGTGTCATGTAAAACCCTTACATTATCATTTCTCCAATGCCAGATTCTCCCTGGTATTCTGAATGTATTAAGGATGAAAGAAAGGCATTTATGCTGACATGTACAACATTACTTCAAATAAATGATGTAGGACAAATTATATCTAAAGGAGAAGAATATTAAATAATAAGCTTACATTATAATAAAAATGCAAAAAAATGAAATGTGATTTATAAATATGACTACCTTTCAGCAACTGATATTACATATGGGGTAGCTAAATTTTATAGTTCATTAATTGATTAATTTTTTGAGACAGGATCTCACTCTGTTGCCCCAGGCTGGAGTGCAATGGTGTGATCATGGCTGACTGCAGCCTCGACCTCCTGGACTCAGGTGATCCTCCCATCTCAGCCTCATGAGGAGCTGGAACTACAGGCATATGCCACCATGTCTGGCTAATTTTTGCATTATTTGTAGAAACACGGTTTTGCCATGTTGCCTAGACTGGTCTCAAACTCCTGGGCTCAAGTGATCCTCTCGCCTTGGCCTCCCAAAGTACTGGGATTACAGGCATGAGCCACGAAGCCTGGTGCAAACTTTTTAAAACAGTTTACCTTAGGATGAATGCAAGAATGTCAGTGTTGGCAGGGAAACTAGACAACATTTAGTGCAAGCCCATTCCACTAGATAAAAATCTCTTTCTCATTTAGGCAGGTTCTTTTTGATATCTTCACAGAACAAATGAGTGCAGAGAATCTGTATATCATATTTGCCTGACAACTCTCTCCAAGGAACACTAAGTACTCCTCTGGCAAGAGAAAACCTTCATGTCCTCCTCAGACTTGAGTTGCCACCGTAGATCTTAGCAGATTTTTCCAGAACAAGATCTAATTGTGATTTATTTCCTTCTGTCAAGGCCCTTAGCACCTTTTCCTACATATGTTTTGAAATATCCAATTGTCCTAAGCTAATGTCACGTCTTCTTTCTTTCCACTTTCAAACTTATTCTGATAAGTGTGACTTGTTGGTGCTTTTGAGTTCTCCATGCCTGAAAGCATATTCACAGTTTTATTGACTTTCAGGAAATTCTTATCACCCCCTTCACCTTACAAATCCTGTGAAACAAATATGATTCCACAGTTTAGTGTTCTATGTGTACATCTTTGGTAGTATCTTTGAACATATGATATAGAACCAAACACAAAACAGCAGCTGACTACTCATCACTTACATCAGGAATAGTCCTAGATAACACTGTCTATTGATAGATTGGTGTGTCTTTTTTCTTATATTCCACGTGCTCCTGTCAATTCAGACACCCACACGGGATGGAGGCTCTCTCGTCCCTCATTGCCCCTCCCATTGTTTCTCAGTCGTTCTCTTGGTCTAACTTCTTTTTCCTCTGCCTTATCAAGTCAAATCTCTATTTTCTGGAGAACACCACTTATTAGCTAGTTAATGGAAAGATCCAATTAAATATACTAATACAGATTTCAATTAGTGGTTTAAGATTAGTATGTTTATTTATATACTCACATAAGGCAATCTGGTTTTGAAAGAATACCCTGTTAAAACAAACAAACGAATACAAGCTGTGGTAATGTGTTTCTAATGCTGGATTTTCAGGGAAATATTAAATCTGTTTAACTTTTCTTTTGAAATAATTTCAAAATTATGGAAAAGCTGCAATAATAGTATAAGGAACACTTGTCCTTTTACTCTTTATTCTTATTCTTCTATTTTACTCTGTGCTATGTGGTTTATCATTCTCTCTCTCTCTCTCTCTCCCTCTCCTTCTCTCTCCTTTTTCCACCACCCCAACACACACATTATTTTTTCTGAACCATGTGAGAATAAGTTGCATATCATGTTCACTTACTTCCAAATAGTGTACATTTCATACAAATAAGGACATATGTAGGTAAGTATATAGTTATCAATTTCAGGAAATTTAACATTGCTACATCGAATAAACCTTCCATATCCCAATATTATCCATTGACCCAATTATGTCTTTAGGGCATCTTTTCTTATCCAAGACAGGATCCAGGCTAGGATCACGTATTACAGGTAGGTATCATGTCCCTTTAATTTTCTTTTACCTAGAATAACTCCTTAGCCTTTTAGTGTCTCTTATCACACTGATACATAGACAATGTATTCTCCTTTATCTTTTTAGTAGAACATTCCTCATAGAATATTCTTCAATTTTGGTTTGACTTTTGTTTTCTCATAATGTTTACATCCACTTACATTCTTCATGGGACACTACATGCACGGTGTTGGGTCCTTCTCAGTCCACTGCCTCTGGAGGCGCACAGTGTCTGCTTCTCATCTGTAATTTTTATTTTGATTACCCACTCAAGATGTTTAATTTCTCTTGTGTAAATATTATTCATTTCCCTTGCAACTAATAAGTGATTTGTAAGAGACACTTTAAGACTATACAAATTTACTTCTCCCCATCAAAACTCTCCGTATCCTCTACTTTTATTACCATTAATGTCTTATGCCAGAACTAGTATTTACTATGATGGTTGCAAATGATGACTTGAGTTCCCACCTCCAGCACCCTTCCACGTTTCCTAGTCAGAAGTTCGTATTCTACTATAAGCAAGAGGCCTCTCTTCTGCCTCATTTTATCTATCTATTGCCTGCCTATGTATGTATGTATGTATGTATGTATGTATGTATGTATGTATGTATCTATCTATCTATCTATCTATCTATCTATCTATCTATATCTATCATCTATCTATCTGTCTGTCTACCTACCTACCTATCATCTCTATAGACTTAAGCATTTCTATTTTTCTCTAAAGGTGTGCAATGCATTACTGTCCTTAACTATTTTGGTGTTCAAATTGTCCAGGTTTGACCAATATGAATTATTTCAAGTTGGCTCTTATGTAATTTTGTATTAACCATCATTTTTCCTTTCTTTCTGGTATAACAAGGTGTGTTTAATTTAACAAGTTTCTTTCTCGACCACAACCTGGTAAAATTTTTCTAACTAGATCTGATTTCTTTTAGATGATAATTGTATTAATAATTAAAGTCTATCTTAGGTGTGCTTAGTGTTACTGCAATATTTTTGTTTCTAGATCCATCCAGCTGTCAGAGCTACTTAGCATGTAGTATGTAAGTGTGTATATATATATATATATATATATATATATATATATATATATATATACTCATTAACACACACATATATTTTTAAGTAGGCTTCATTCTTGTCTTCTCTCATTCCACGTATGTTTCTTATTTCCTTCATGGTGAGAACCTTGGCCCCCAACACAATTGACATATCACTCATTTGCTCAATTTACAGTACATTTAAATATGTTCAGAAATGCTTCAACCATATATACGTTTCCTCATTTCTTCTTTCTTAAACAAAAGTTAACATACAATAAACGCTCTTTGTACTTTTCTTTTTTTCACTAAACAATATATCCAGCAAATCCACCCCATGTCAACTTATATTTTATCGGTTTTCTTCACAGCTGCTGTGTATCTATTTCAAATATGTAGCCTAGTTTATTCAACCAATCTATATTTGATCATAAAGATAGTTTCCAATATTTTGTAATTACAAATACAATGGCAAGAAATAACTTTGTGCGTATGACTTTTTATGTTATTGGAGCTGTATAATTAGACTAAATTCCTAGTATTGAGATAGTTGGGTTGAAGAATAAATGCATTTTTAGTTCTGCTGGGTATTGCCAATCCCCCTCTATAGCTATTGTTCTATTGGACATGCTCATCAGGAGTATATGAGAATGCTGTTTCCCCAGATTCTTCCCAAAAGAGTGTATAAACAACCTTTTCGGTCTTTGCCAACCTGATTGGTGAGATATAGTATCCCCATAGAGGATTAATTTGTATTTCTCTTTTCATTTTACATTTGTATGCATGTAAACACAATTTTATATATTTTGTTTGAGTTTCCTTTTCATGTTTTTGCCTGTTTCTATATTTTCTCAATTTTAATTGGTAGATATTATAGACATGGAAATTTTCTCTGTTAGCATCAATTATACATAGATGGCAATTATAATACAAAAATAAGATTAATAAATTTAGGCATTCATCCTGCAAATAGAACAACAACAACAAAAATAATACTAACAAACACAAAATCAAAAGCAAGTAGGAGTAGCCACAGCTTGGTTTACCTGTCATTCCCTGTGCATGCCAACTGCACACAATGATGCCTGTTTCATATACATTCATTTCTTTTCAAACCAGAGGCAATGACATCCAAACATATTTCTTTAGAAATACCCTCTTCATCAGCAAATAATACTATGTGCTATACTAAGTATCTATGTACTAAGTGTGAGTAGATCCCGTGTACTTATATCATGCTGAATTTACATAAAGAGTAACATAATGTCCCTATATGTTGCAAGTAGGCTCTTAAAGACCCTTTGCTAAGCTCTCTGGTTACCATTTCACCTGGCCCACTGGTTTTCTCCCACAATTATCTTTGGTACTAGAGAGCTATTCCAATAACAGTTCCTGGTTTCTTTCATTCCTCTTCCATCAGAGGTGTACCTTGATTCCAAGTCTGATTAATTTGTTTTTACAACTTGTCACTGAATTTTAATACACATAGGAAAAAAGCACACATAAACATACAGCTTGATGCATTTGCACAAGTGTAAGAAGCACTTAAGTCAAGAAACAAAGAATTATCAACACTTCTAAAATTTCTTTGTATCCTCTTCTAGCCATGACCCTTCAACAGAGGAAACCACCATCTAGATTACTAACCACATGGACCCTGGTCCAGCTTGGATTGGAGATTGCCACACATCCATGCCTTTGGCACCAGTTCCTTGCCATTACACTCAGCAGCATCAAGCTGCCTCCAGGTCTGAAGGGAGGATAAGCTTTGCTGCTACAGTCAGTATTCCCAGCCTCCTTCTCATCTCCCTGTTGCTGCAAACTCTGTTGTTTTCTCTCCTATAGAAATCCTAGGCTTTTCATGTGTTCCCACACATGCCATTTTGGACAGTTTGACTTCTAATAGATGTAGGTACATGCAGTATTTCTCAATATTATTAAGTATAAATTAAGATAATAAACATTATTGTTTATAAATTGTAAACCTAATTATAGCTGCATATTCCAATGTTCACTAAATTCCACAATTTGGTGGATCTGTTAACAAGTACTTACTAAATACATTCAATAGTCAAGGCACTTTCCTAGCTGATGAGACCCAGCATTTAACAGGACAAAATAAACCCCTCAGACAACTCACCTATAATCAAAAACTATGATATCTTCTTAAATATGGTATAATAGAGAAAGCAAAGACTAGTGGGACATAAAGCCAAGGAAAAAGCCTGGTCTCTTACCTCTCAGGATCTTGTTACAGTAATTGACACAAAAAGTGCTTACCAGGTAAGTACTCAGTGCATGGTGATTACTATTGGCAATGATATTTGATTTTAGTAAAAATGCCAAACATCTCTGCACTTCAATTGAATAAGCTAAGAAATAGGTTAAATTCCATTAAATATCCATAGGTTTGATATTATTTGGGGGGAGATTAATAGTTAGTGTGTAGTAAGAGTTGAGAGAGTGTGTGTGTACATGTGCCTGTGTCTTATTTCACAATCAGTTATCCCAAATCCTAACATAAAATATACCTGAATAATCATATTTTGGTTTTGATTTTAAAATTTGAAACCAACATCATTGGCATTCCTGCTTACATTAAGTAAAGCTAAAGTGCAATACTTCTATTAATATTTCAAGAAAATGCTGTCATATTAAAGATATGTAATCATACCTTTTTATTTAACATATCATGTGAAAAACTCATTGGATATTCCTGCTATGTCATAATCACAAAATCTTTCCAAAGGGACTGGACGTTTCTTTTGTATTGGTCTGGTTTCTTTTATCAAATACTTGTTTGTTCCAGGCTGAATGTAAAGAGCCTGAATGACTTTATGATAAATTCACAGTCTTTTTCTCTTGCTCTAGGCTGTCATACACAGCTCTGTTTTCCAATTTGTATACTGTAACAAAGCTGAAAAATACACAAACGAGACAGTCACTGTGCGTATAGAATGAACAATTGTGCTTGCTAAGTGCATAAGATAAACAACGACTTCACCCTGGGCAACTCAGTTTTCATATCTGAAGTGGAGGGAATGTGTTTCTTAACCTTCTCTGAAGAATACTGGGAGAACTAATGAAACCTGCCATTTTCAAGCAGATACTAGTATAATCCAAATGAAATTAGCAATTCAACCTCAACTTTTAATTGGGGAAAGCTGTTTTGGCTCTGGGCGAGCTCTTTTCTTTGCTGATAGAAAAATTATCCATCATTGTTTAGAATGCATGTTTGCTGGAATCCAGTTTTTAATAAATAATTACTATATCTCAAAGAATTACATGATGTTGATAGTGTTAAATGGTGCCTAGTGCAGAATAAACTACTGTATGGAGTTTGAAAGTAGGACATGATTTTTAAGGCCAAACATTTCTTTGGGGACGGGGTGGGAGATTGATTCTTAAAGTGTCTTTGGTTCATTTGCTATCTAGGATAGAATAATTCTGAAAATGTTTCCTTGGAGTTTTGAATGTAAATAAATGATTGCAGAGAGTCATATATAAGTAGTCGTTTGATTCAAGCATATTTTCTGAGTTAATGAAGGTTGATGCACAACTCTTCCTAGAAGATATTGTCTTTCTTACAAGATCATCCTTATTCTTACTTACCAGACACACCCCTATCAACACCCTAGCAATAGCAAATAACTTTTAATGTCATAACTTTATAAAGTACTTGCCTACTAGTTGTTATGAATTTAATTTTGTCCCCCCAAAATTCATATGTTCATGTTCCAACCCCCAATGTCTCAGAATGTTACCATATTTGGAAACAGGGTCTTTACATGTATAGTTAATATGAGGTCATACCAGAGTAAAGTGGATTCTAAACAAATAAATTTTTTGTAAAATGAATGCCATATAAAATGAAAAACAAGGCCAGCCACAGTGACTCATGCCTACAATCCTAACACTTTGGGAGGCCGAGGTGGGAGGACTGCTTGAGCTCAGGAGTTCAAGACCCACCTGGACAACAAAGTGAGACCCATCACTACAAAAAATAAATAAATTAAAATTATCTGGGCATGGTGACATGCACCTGTAGTCCCAGCTACTCAGAAGGCTGAGACAGAGGATCCATGGGTTCAGGAGTTGGACCTTGCAGTAAGCTATGATCACATCACTGCACTCTAGCCTGGGTGACAGAGCAATACCATCAAAACACACACACACACACACACACACACACACACACACACACACACACACACAGAAGAAAGATGATATAAAGCAACACAGGGAGAAGATAACCACCTGCGAGCCAAGGAGAGAGTCCTGGAGCAGGCTGTTCCCTCACCTCCCTCAGAGGAGGAGTCAACCCTGCCAACCCCTCAATATTGGACTTCTGGCCTCCAGAACTGTGAGAGAGTAAATTTCTGTTGTTTGAGCCACCCAGTTTATGGTACTTTATGATGGCAGCCCTAGCAAACTAATACAGTAGGTAAATAGTACTTTCTTTAAAAATTGAAAACAGCAACACCAACAATAGCATTAAAGACCAAGATCTTCTAACTTTTAAGCTCTGTGACCTTAGGTAAGATCCTGAACCTCAATTTTTGTATTGAAAATTAGAAAAAAGCCCAGGTGCCGTGGCTCATGCCTGTAATTCCAGCACTCTGGGAGGCCGAGGCTAGTGAATCACCAGAGGTCAGGAGTTCGAGACCAGCCTAGCCAATATGGCAAAACCCGACCTCTATTAAACATACAAAAATTAGCCGGGTGTGGTGGCAGGTGCCTGTAATCCAAGCTACTCAGGAGGCTGAAGCAGGAGAATCGCTTGAACTTGGGAGGCGGAGGTTGCAGTGAGCAGAGATTGGGAAACTGCACTCCAGCCTGGGTGACAGAGCGAGACTCTGTTTCAAAAAAATAAAAATAAAAAATAAATAAAATACCAACATCTTATATACAAGCGCTATATTACAGTTTAAATGCAGAGATCACTAAGTTTCACATTGCCTGTGAAAGGAATGGCTGACCAGGGCCATAGTGGCAAGGAACACAGGCTGGTTAGTTAGGTAGCTTTGGTTTCCTATCCTAGCTCCACTGTTTGATTAGTTTAGTTTAGTTTTTTTTATTTTTATTTGTATTTTATTTTGCGGGTATGTTCCTTAAAACAGGAAATGTGATATTTATTCAACCATTACAATTTTTTTTTGCTTTCATACAGAGATATATTGTGAAATGATTACCATAATAAGTTAGTTAACACATCCATTACCCAGTCCCACCGTGTACCCCAGGGAAAGTTGTACTTTCTCTAATCCTCAATTTCTGCAGCCAAAAATAGGGCTTAATCATAAAAATAATAATCTATATCCTCACATATTAGTTGTTTTTAAGATTAAATGATATAAAGCACATTAAACACTTAAGGAACCCCCAATAAGTGTTGGTTGGCTGTTATTATTTATTAATTTGTGCAGCTGAAGTTTTCTGAATTTCTCTGCTAAATCACAGGAGTTTTCACAGACATCTTCCAAGCTGCATATTAATATCATTATAAAGCATTTAAATTGCAATTACAATAGGCCCATTCACTGTCTCATCAAAATATATTGGTGAAGTTCATCGGAGAAATGCAGATACTTATCTCAAACATTATTTTCATTTGGAAATGGACAGAATTTTTTCTAGAAGCCAAAGTCTATTCTCTACTCTTGCTCTAGACTTCTGAAAAGGCATAGATGGTGAATGAACCTTTCAGACAGCCTGTCAGCACTATATCTTTTTGCCAGAATGATCATTTCACTGCAGCCTATAATTAAGCTATTTAACTCAAGCAAACCAAATTTATTTGCCAAGACATTTTAACATTCTAGTAGTTCTCTCCCAAAGTCAACACTGACTAAATTAGCTACCTGGAAAACAGTATGCATAAGTGAAACACATAGAATGGGTATCTTCACGGTGTCCAGGGGCATAAGCATCCTGAAAGCTGTGCAAGATGACCCGGGCTTTTGTTTAAAGTTATTGTAGTGATTTTTGCTGTCCTTCCAATTAAAATATATTATTCTCAAGGCTAGACCTACTATTAACTACTTACTTGCATTCTTTATATCACTTTGAATATAGTATTTGAGAAACATTAATGATAGCATTCGTAATAATACTGATAAATAGGAGAAAGTGAAACAAGAGGACGATAAGAAGAGACTATATTTATGGGGCATTGTTCTAAACAATTTATTTTTGATTAATTTATTTCTCACAAAAATCGCATAAGGTAAATACAATTATATCGCTTTTACACCTAAGGCAACTAAGACCCATAGTAGGTTGATTAACATAGTTAAATACACACCACGAGAAAGTGTTGGAGCAGAGTTCAGATATTTGAGGTCCGGTCCAGAGCCCATGCTATCTTGTTCTATAAATATCGTGTATGTATTCAATAGTATTTTCAATTACTCAAAATGAGCAGGGGTTCATTATAGTAATGGAACTTCTTGCTGAACCAAAATAAGTATTTGGCTCCATATTCAGTAGTGAGGTCAGTATACCTGGATTCAAGGTTCCAGTTTAAGGGACATCATGGTTCTCAGCCTCAGCTTATTCATCTACAGAATGAGATACTTCAGTTCAGTTGTAAACTCATAAACATCTGTTTTGTGCTCTGCAGTGAGCTCTATATGATGAATGGCACAGAGATAAAAATGTGCCCTAGGCGACTGCATAAACTCCAAGGTTCTTCCAAAATTAGATATTTACATTATATAAATTAAGCATTACTGATTCACAGGATATAATTTCAGAGTTTTTTTTATTTTAAAAAGTCAGCTTTTTGCTGGGTGCAGTGGCTCACCCCTATAATCCCAGCACTTTGGGAGGCCTAGGTGGGTGTATCACTTGAGGCCAGGAGTTCAAGGCCAGCCTGGCCAACATGGCGAAACCCCGTCTCTACGTCTCTACTAAAAATACAATCATTAGCATGGGATGGTGGTGCATGCCTGTTATCCCAGCTACTCGAGAGGCTGAAGCAGGAGAATCCCTTGAACTTGGGAGGCAGAGGTTGCAATGAGCTGAAATCGCTCTACTGCACTCAAGCCTGGGCAACAGAGCGAGATTCTGTCTCTAAATAAATAGATAAAGGTCAGCTTTTTATTTTGTTGCATGTCAGAAAGTCAGGAAAAACGCAGTTATTTATAGAATCCCACTCTCCATTCCTACCTATTTCAGCAGAAGATTCATCTGCTTGGAATGACTTCCTGCCCCTCTTCTCTGAGTGACCAACTCCTTACCTATTTAGCCAATAGTAGGTAGCTCCAAAGAAGCCTTTGCTGGACCCAACCACTCTGAATAAGACCACTTTCCTAGTGTTCCCAAAACAACCTAGGCAAGCACCTCTCTATTTGAACAGTCATACAATATACTTATAATTGTATATGTTTAGCCTTATCACCAGTTTATTGACCCCTAGAAGACAGCAATTATGCTTGTGTTTTGGTCTGTTTATCCCTAGCCTCAATAAGTAGTAGGTGCTCAGTGAGTGCCTATTTATCAAAGCTCACTCTTTTTTCACGATAAATCTGTCTGCAATTTGCACTGTAAATTCCAGTTATTCTAATTCTACCTTCTGGTTTGGAAACACAAATGCTGATGCTTATTCCTCTTTCTCGTGAGAGTTCTTCAAATATCAAAAGCAACACACTCTATCTTGGAGGTATATATGAATCACTTGTGAGTCTTCCTAAACTGTAGATTCTGATCAGTAGATCTGGGTTAAGCCTCTGAGATTCTACATCTCTGACAAGCTCCTGGATGTTCCTGGTGCAGCTGATTTGTCCTTTCATGGCTAACCAGCATAAACTGTTTTAGTTAATACTTATAAGCCTATTTTCAAGTCTTCTTATCCTACCCTTTTCAGTTGGCCTAAGAAGACACAGAGAAGTACTGTAGACAAAAATGGGTTATTTCTTTCCGAAGTTAACGCACTTTATCAAGTGAATTTATTAAACTAAGTCTAATGAAAACATCCTAGTCATATTTTCACTGAAGTTTCATTAAAAAATATATATCTGAAAAAACTTTCCAGGCACAATTCATATGACAAGGCATAGGACTCGATGTGATAATAAGTAGGCCCAAGATTTGAATGGCATAAATTAGCATTCTCAATTATACTTCCAAATGAGTCATTTGTCATTCCAGGCTGGGAAACACAGATGTATGTAATACAGTACACACACCAATACACTAATAGAAAAACGTTATTATAAAGTGGAAGTAACAGGCTATTTTAAATTTTCAAGAAAAGAGCCAATATACTATGTTAATGCACCTAGAAATCACAAATGTATAAAATAATTGAGTGATTAATATGTTCCAGACATTGCTCTAAACCCTTTGTTTGACTTTTTCTCTTAATACCTACAACCTCCATTGAGGTAAATACTATTCAGGTAAGTGACTAGACCCATTTTACAGGTTGGGAACTTTAGGCACAGAAAGCTTAAAGAATCTGCGTGAAGATACACAGATCTATGTTACCAAAATTGTATAATCTGCCTAGGTGGTCTGATTCCAGAGTGTAACATAGAATTACTCATTCCACGGCCTCTCAGGCGTCTCCAGGCACATAAGAAGCATGATTTACTGTGCCCTAAATTTCCCAAAATAAGCATACTAGTATTCCTCTAAGTTACCACTTGAGCAGAGTAGAAACATACATCTTAAAAGAAGGAACTGATATCTTATTCAAATTATTTGTAGGTACCCATTTATCAACACATTATATAACTATGTATTTACTTGGAGTTATTTAGCCTCAGGTAACCTAAATCCAACCTTGACACGATAAAAAAAATTAGCATTGAGTTCAATGTAAAAAAAATTAGCATTGAGTTCAACGTAAAAAAAATTAGCATTGAGTTCAATGTAAAATAAAACACCTGAAAATATTAGTATAATTGATAACAAATCTTGTTTCATGGATACTTTAAACATTAGAAGAATAATTACATATATCCTATTTTATCTCATAGATGAAAAATACATTATACTGTGAAGAACTATATACTGTTATTTTACAGCCTGTAAGAAATCTTATGAGATTATAACATTTTCCTTTATCTCATAATATATGCCAATAATATATTCAATATTATCAACAGCATCTTATTTTTATCTTCCAAATTTTAGAAAAATATTAAACACATAACCATATTTGTTAGAACAGTTCTATTTATGTACAATATTGAGTCTCAGAAATTGTCCCAAGAAACCTCATGACCTTTGAAAATGAGAATCTCACCATACAAATGTGTATTTAGAAAGGTGATCAAAATTCACTAGTAGATGCATTACAGTATATGCAAAAGGATCTGGAATATCCACTCAACTTATTAAAATTCATGAGACTTTAAAAATATTATCCAGCCTAAGAGGAGTATAAACAGAAAAATCTATTTCACAGAAATAAGGAGCTTATTCTGAAATCGCCTTGGAAATTGTTTTTTTTTCTATACAAGTTCTGAAGATTTTTACCCCATTTATATCAAAGATAATTTTAGAAAGTGTTTGTTTGATGCAGATTATTCTGATGTGTTTTATTTCTCAATAAGCTATCTATAAAATTATTATGAATATGTCTGCCTGATCCTTTACCCAAATAACTGATGGCAGCAGGAATGTAGATGTTTACATAAAGAAGCAAGGGTAATACTCATCTTTTGGGGAAAAGAATCACATTCATGTCCTAAGTGAAGTAGAAGTTATTATCCGATGGAAGATGTAGGGGCAGGCGACAGGATGGTTGTCATCCTGACTTTCGCATGCAGACAAAATTCTAGATATTTTGAAAGAATCTAAGTACACCATTGAACTGTAACAGAATGGCATTTATATTTTATATTTATACTGGGAACAGATTTTTAAGTGATTTGGAAAATTAGTGCAACCACTATAACAAATGGCTGAAAAGAAAGGACAGAACAATCCATTCATTTCTAAACAGTGTCCCCTTAAATGGCTCATTGGACACAAGGCCATCATGATGGTAACAGATAATTTGTTACAAGCACTGCAATGGCACCTGGCACAGAGCTAGGTCTACCTGTCATGCCTCACTGACCCAGCCTGCACTGCACTATCTAAACATGTATTTACCATGTGTTAATCGAAAATTATGACAGAGATTTGCATACATTCTACCTCCAACTTTAAGTAACATTTCCTTAATCTAAAATATTGTCAGATATTTTCAATCATGAATAAGAGTAAAAAGAGGTAAAGGGAATCTGAAAAACATAGAGGGTGACTAAAAATTCTGAAAATTGTCATTACTGACTATTGTCACTGAAAAAACATACTACACTAGATTTGGAGAATGCTTCTAAAATTGGGAATTGATGACACACATGTTTCTAATCTTAATAGCTTGAAAAATTTCTTTACTTACATAATCTCACTTAAATATCCCAATAGGAATTATATCTACTTCTCAGATTAGGATTTCAGGAACAGAGAAATAAAGTCAGATCTCCAAGTTTATAAAACAAACAAATGAAACAAGATACATGAATTCAGACCTTTCGACTCCATATCTTGGCTTTCACTTGCCTGATGGCTAATTACAGGCTAACTCAAAAGGATGTTTTTGAGAACTTTTATTTTATAAATACTGGTTGATGGAATATGTAATTAAAAAGAAAGTAGGGAATACGTGGTCCAGCTTATGCCTTGCTATTCAGAAAATCCAAATGTTTCATAAATGAAACTGCCAACTATTGTATTTGTCTTCTAGATTTTTGAAATGTTTTAAATTTATTGAAACAATTATGTGTATGCATTTGTACATGGGAAAAGCGTATATGTGACAAGGAGATCTAGGTTTTGAAAATAAGTAATCTATTTAATACTTCTTAGATAATATGAATTTGTTTATCCCTATATTCTTGATAAGTATCTAACCATATAATTTAAATATGATAAAACAGCTGTGTTCTGTAGAATTCTCCATTTAATAGATGCAGTGGTAACAAATTTCAGTCTAACACCTACTTAAAATTAACAAAATGGATCAAAACTGTTTTTAAAAATAACTGAGAATATACAAGCATGTTTTCATGATTAGGAAGTGTTTTTTAAAGAAAAACAAAAACTGCGCTCATATGACTGGTAAATTTGTAGTATGTTCCTATCCTACAAAATAATAGTGGTGTGTAAAGAAGGCATCCACTGCTTTTACTCCAGTTTCCTATTTTGGCTCCGAATATCTGCATTCAAAATCCAGTAATTGAATTTCCCAAGCAAAACAGGCCTCTTAGCAAAAGCCTGCTGGAATTCTTATTTAATATAATGTTTAATGGACTTCTGATACAAAATGCTTATACAGAATACTTCCTCTCTCTCTCTCTAACAGATTATACTTAGGAAACTTGAAAACATCTCAAGATAATCATGCAAATTAGAGTTGGTGGAGTATGTAGATGTAATGATTTTTTGGGCAATTTTATTTACCTATTACATTGGAAAAGAGGTTCTAAATAGAAGGAAATTATATTGTAAAATATAAAGAATTCTATTATGCTCAGTATCATCAAAGAGGAATGGAAGGTTTGACTAGTTAAGCCCATTTAGAAACTCAGATCTTTGAATATTAAATATTCAGATAAACCATTCTTTAGGAATCTTTTCAGGAGCCATTCTCACTCCCTAATGCAAGATTCATGACTCTAAAACCTTGTGAAACTGTCATAATTTGCTTATATATGACTTGTTCTTTGCTTATTTTAATATATTATCCAACAGTGATAAAATAACTCGGAATGTCCATATGAACATTTAATAAGAATACTATAAAAAATTACTTATGTTGTCCATTTCCCCAACAATCAGAAAAACATAACCATGGACATTTGTTTAAAATTATATTCATGTGATTCAATATACATTATCTTCTATATTTCTCAGGTAAACAATCATTATAAAATGGATAGTAAAAACAATTTCAAAAATACATAAATTTTTACATCTTGTAAGGTGTTTTCCATCAAAAAGCCATCCAATCTTCTCTATATCAGAATTCTCTTCAAGTCCAGTATACATAATGTTAAGCAGTAGTGGATTAAAAAACTCTAGTATTTAATATCATTTTTAATAAACTTAATCCCCAAGAGTACTTTTTTTTGAAATTTGTAAATGCTAAATTTTAATCACTTAATGAATGATAAGACGTAGCCCTAAAATATTCAAGAATTTTTAGAAGTCAACGAACTTTAACTCTTTTAGAATACGTCAAAGGATTGGACTCTTTTTTTTTTTTTTTTGTATTAGTAAGGATTAAAACATTTCTGTCACAGATTATTAAATAATGTAATCATTATGTGGCAGGCTTACTGGTACTTAAATATATTTTGCAATATTTAGATTGTGTCTCTGATATGGTTTGGGTCTGTGTCCCCACCAAAATCTCATGTCAAATTGTAATCCCCAGTGTTGGAAGAGGGGCCTGATAGTAGGTGATTGGATCACGGGGGTGGACTTCCCGCTTGTTGATCTCCTGACAGTGAGTGAAATCCCAGGAGATCTGGTTGTTTAAAAGTGTGGGACAGGGCCGGGCGCGGTGGCTCACGCCTGTAATCCCAGCACTTTGGGAGGCCGAGGCGGGTGGATCATGAGGTCAGGAGATCGAGACCATCCTGGCTAACAAGGTGAAACCCCGTCTCTACTAAAAATACAAAAAATTAGCTGGGCGCGGTGGCGGGCGCCTGTAGTCCCAGCTACTGGGGAGGCTGAGGCAGGAGAATGGCGTGAACCTGGGAAGCGGAGCTTGCAGTGAGCCGAGATTGCGCCACTGCAGTCCGCAGTCCGGCCTGGGCGACAGAGCGAGACTCCGTCTCAAAAAAAAAAAAAAAAAAAAAAAAAAAAAGTGTGGGACAGGCCGGGCGTGGTGGCTCGTGCCTGTAATCCCAGCACTTTGGGAGGCCGAGGCAGGCAGATCACAAGGTCAGGAGATGGAGACCATCCTGGCTAACTCGGTGAAACCCCGTCTCTACTAAAAATACAAAAAATTAGCCGGGCGTGGTGGCGGGCGCCTGTGGTCCCAGCTACTTGGGAGGCTGAGGCAGGAGAATGGCGTGAAACCGGGAGGCGGAGCTTGCAGTGAGCCGAGATCGCGTCACTGCACTCCAGCCTGGGCGAAAGAGCGAGACTCCGTCTCAGAAAAAATAAAAAAGTATGTGACACCCCCGTCTCTTTCTTCCTCCTGCTCCCGGCATGTAAGACATGCCTGCCTCCCCTTTGCCTTCTGCCATGATAGTAAGTTTCTTGAGGCCTCCAAAGCCATGCTTCCTATACAGCCTGTGGAAACGTGAGTCAATCAAAACTCTTTTCTTCGTAAATTACCCAGTCTCAGGTATTTCTTAACAGCAGTGCAAGAACAGACTAACATAGTCTCCAACTTGTTTTGATTTTTAAAATTTTATAATGAGCTCACTACTAATAATCACTCATCACGTAGCATACTGATTTTTAATAAGAAACACAATATTTGAAAGGAAGAAACAAAGTGAACACCAGAAAGGGAGAAGACAATAGAAATGCACCTTTATCACCTTAAGATGGAGAGCCCTATAAGTAGACCCAGCATATCTTCATAATTTGTGATGTTTTCACTACATGACATCCTTGTCTCCCCGACTCAACCATTATTATTCTATGTAATATCAAGAGTCCAAGGCCAGGTGCAGTGGCTCACGCCTGGAATCCCAGCACTTTGAGAGGCCAAGGCAAGTAGATCACCTGAGGTCAGGAATTCAAGAGCAGACTGACCAACCTGGTGAAACCCTGTCTCTACTAAAAATACAAAAAAAAATTAGCCAGGCATGGTGGTGGATGCCTGCAATCCCAGCTACTCGGGAGGCTGAGGCAGGAGAATGGCTTGAATCCAGGAGGCGGAGGTTGCAGTGAGCCAAGATCACACCACTGCATTCCAGCCTGGGCAACAAGAGCAAAATTCCGTCTCAAAAAAAAAAAAGACTCCAAGACAAGCTGAACAATTTTATCCTCCTTAGCCTTTTTTCCTTATGTCTCTGCATTTAGCCGTCCTTAACTGTTCAGTATTTGACAGATACATTAAAGTTCAAGTATTTTAGCAGCTATCTTTATTACTATCTTGGCACATTATGAGAGGAGAGGAGATTTGAACACTCTTAATTTTGAGATGAAGACTTTACAAATACAAAAATGTGAACAGTATTTCTGTTCTGATATAGAGAACAGTATTTCAGAGTCTGACTTGTAACCCCTCAAGTAATTTTACCAACATGCTAATTTGATCTTAGTTTAGAAATCACAGAAAGTAAACCCCTCAAGCAATTTTACCAACATGCTCATTTGATCTTAGTTTAGAAACCATAGAAAGTTAGAAAATAATGAGTGCTCTGGGTGTTAGAAGGGTCTGTGATCCAAGCCTTCACTGTTTACTCTCAGTTGTTTGGTCTGCTGTTTGGTTGGTTGGCCACTTGATTTCTCCCTCCCCTTCCCCCCACCCAACCCCCTTACTCCTCCGTCTTCCCCTCTCTCTCTCTGCCAAATTTTAAGGGCAACTCTTTCAAATTTTCTGTTCTCCTCTTCATTTTCAGCATATACTTCCTCTATCCCCTTCTTAACTGTAGACTGAAAACCAATCTAAACTATGTATTCGGTGTTCACTGTACATTAGCATCACCATCGGAGCTTTAAAATCCCAAAGCCCAGGCTGCACCTTAGACCAACTAAATTCAAGTCTCTGGGGTTGGGACACAAGGGTCTATATGTTTTAAAGTTCTCTAGCTAATTCTACTGTGTATTCAGGCTTGATAAGCACTTTTCTATAAATTATGCCTGAGGATTTGAATTATCTCAATTGCGAGATGAAGACATTTTAGAAAGAGGCATTTTTCCCACTACTTGCTTTCCGTAACTTATACATCCTAATACACAAATATTCTTTCCATATAATTATGACTTGAAAGGAGTTATTTCTAAAGTTCTACTTAAGTAGACACATTTTTTATTATCAGGACATTATATCCTTATTTCACATACTGCTGTAGAAATGAACATCCACTTTAGCTAGAAATTATAAACTCTTGTTACTTAGAAAAAATAATTGGGGACTTTTAAAATACAAAGTCTACAAGAGTGATTCATGATAAAGTTAAAAATATCCAGCACTCCAACTAATACTGTGAAGGACATGATTTTAAAAGTGAACCCTTTCCTCTTCCTTCTTTTCCCCCTTCCCTTTCATCCTCTCCCTTTCCTCCTCCTCATCTTCTTTTTCTTCTTCTTCTTCTGGTTTAATATTGATGACAGCACTTGATTTTGGTCATGCCTGCTTTTTAAAATAATTAAACAAAGTAGAACACTTAAATTTTACTGTTAAATAATTTATTCAAATTATTATGTGGTGAATATTTGATTGAATATATACAACTTTTTAAGTTAATAGAGACATTTTAAGAACAAATGGGTTAAGCTTTATTCTCTTCTTTCATAATAAAGGAATAAAGTGAACATAGATCTGTAATAAGTGTTTAAGACACTATTATAAAATGGACAAGTTCTTTTCTTAACATCTATCACTGCTCTTACTTCTCTAAATTATATTCTTCATAATTTCAATATTTTCCTTCAATTGAAGATCGCTGTCTTCAGAAAAGTTATCAGTATCATTAATCACTATTTCAACTTACGTGATTCTGGTCTTATTGATCCGGGTTTGCCTTTCATCTACGTGCTTTAAAACTTCCTCAGGTGATTCAAATTCATAGTCCAGATCTAGAATCATTGCTTTAACCATTGGATAGAAATTACAGCCTGAAGAAACTTTCTTCCATCAACAATGATGAATAAATAGTTTCCCAATGATTTGAATACATAAATATTGATAACTATATATGCTTAGTAAATCCTGTACCATTTTCTAATATTTCCAATCCAATTCTGTGTCTTTGCTTTCCTGCCAATGACTTACCCAGATATTCCCATCTTGATGATAGGGTTTCCAGTTTCTCCCTGTGTCGCTGTAGAGCATCCGGTATTGGGTCACCCAATCTGAGCTGCTATACCTTCCTTGGGTTGCAATGGCACTGATCTGCTTCCGATTGCCAAAGTCAACCTGAAGCCATTGATAATGGTCGCTGTCTGATGGAGACCATCCCCCAGCACCTGAAGATGGGCAGAGGTAAGATGGGAAAATGAATATTTAAATTTGAACTTGTACAACTGACAATGGAATATTCTACATATCTTAATTGGTCTTGGCAGTGCTCTATTTCACAGATATATTATGAAATATCCTTTATAGATGCCATTGGGACTTCAACTAATATTCTTCCAGCTGGTAACATTGATTCTTTAACCTCTTTATGGTGTAATTATGTGCTCATTTTCTCCTGAGCAAATGTCTTCATAATTCCTCAATTAGATCTTATTAGTACATGTCAAAGTCTAATTGGCTGAGGGTTGACCAATTTACCATAAACTCTTCAGCTAAAATCATGAGAAAAATGTATGTAACTATCCAATTTTTTCTGTCATGTAAACTTTATCATTTAATAAATTATAAATTAAAAACAAGCAATTATACACAATTCTAAAATATATTTTTCTTGTGAAGTAAAGTAGAAAAATATTTGCAATTCTTAAAATGAACCTAATCTTACATTAATTTCCTGTACCACTGAGAGGTACAGGGAAGTATATAGGAAATCAGGAAGAATGTTTATTTAACACTTAGAAGATATACAGTCAATACCTCTTGTAAGTCATATTTCTAGAAAAATTAGATACTAAACAAAGTTAAATCTCTTTTGGCAAAATATAAGAATTGCTCAGCAAATAGTAAGAATGTAAAAACATTTGTTAGAAAAATGGCACTCATATAGATCAATATTCTTAATTTACAGTAATATTTAAAATAACTAGGGTTGTACACAAAATAAGTTACAGAAAATATGGCATAATGTTAGTGCTAAGAGGCACTATAATTTTTACAGTGAGTTCAGCTACTAAAGAGAATGATATAAAAATATTCAATAGATTATCCAATGTACAGTATATCAAAACGTGTGTACTATTTTTTAAATAAGGAATTTAAAGGCTGGCAAAATAATTTATTCTATGAGGACGTTCATAATAATCATTTCATAAATCATCACAGATATTCAAATAATAATGGTTACATGGCCTATTTTTGCTTAAAACTATGATAGAATAGCTTTTTTTAAAATTACAAAACTAAAAAATATATAAAATAACTGACTGGGCTCAGTGGCTCACGCCTGTAATCCCAGCACTTTGGGAGACCAAGGCAGGTGGATCACCTGAGGTCAGTAGTTGGAGATCAGCCTGGCCAACATGCTGAAACCCCATTTCCTCTAAAAATACAAAAATTAGCCAGGCGTGGTGGCAGGTGCCTGTAATCCCAGCTACTGGGAAGGCTGAGGCAGGAGAATTGCTTGAACCTGGGAGGCAGAGGTTGCAGTGAGCCAAGATGGTGCCATTGCACTCCAGTTTGAGTGACAGAGTGGGACTCCATCTCAAAAAATAAAATAAAATAAAATTTTAAAAAATCACTGTTTTAGGGACTGGACAATGGGCAGTGCAGTACGTGATCCATAAAATAAGATAAACAAATAAGGTGAGCCCTGCCAACTTCCTGGCTTTCTGCTAGCTTCACTTTCTGGATCATGGCATATGGAAGATGATCCCAAACAGAGTTCAGCAGTGCAGTAGTGTCATTGAAACGGAAACATATTACAATTCAAAGCTACTAAAGAAGCTGGAATTAACAGGACAGAGTCCCAGAGAGGGCACAGCTGTGTAAAGTGCTTTAGAAATCTACAAGGGAGTCATGAATGTGTCTCTGCAATCTGGACTCAGAAGAAACACCATGCTGTGCACTTTTAGATCAAGACTGCACAAGACCAGGTAAAGGGAGTTCTGAAGTCAACAATAACCAGAGGTTGCACAGAGCTGGGAAAAATTTGATTTCAGACTAGACAAAATTGAGAGACCTTGTTGAATCCCTCCAGGCATTCAGTAGACATCCCATAAAAGTCATGCATTATATGTAGGGATATTTTAGTCCTAATATGAGGGCTAGTCTGGACACACCTGAGCAAAGGTTACTGAAAAAGATAAATCTGACCAAAAATTAATTTTTTGATGGAACAAAACTTGACACTCCATTAAGGAAAGTCATAAACATTTAGAAACTGAACAACATTGCATCCATAATGTCAAGTATATCAACTGAAAAATATACTAGACATTTGGACAAGCAGGAAAATATGTCTTAGAACCAGAGAGAAAAAAATCAATGGAAATGTATCCCCAAAATAACAGAAATGATGAAATTAGCAGACCAGGACTTTAAAAACAGTAATTATTAATTCTATTATCTAAAATAAAACATATAAACATTTTTTAAAAATGCAAAATGTTGAAGGAGAAAAGCAACAAACGAGAACAAAATGGAAATTTTAGGAGTAAGAATTACATCTGAAATAGAAAATTTAATGGATGGGCTTAACAGCAGATGAGACACAGAAGAAAACATCATTGTACTAGAATGTAGGGCCATATAAGGCATCTAAATTAAGCTCAGAGAGGAAAAACAAGGCTTAAAAAATAAACAGTTATTCCAGTAAGTTGTGAGACATTGATAACTGCCCTAACAATCATGCAAGTGGAGTACTACAAGCAGAGATGACAGAGATTGGGTCAGAATAAAATATGTTTGAAGAAATAATGGTTGAAATATATAAACTCAGATATGTGAGAAGTTTATTGAATTCCAGGCAGGAGATATACAAGGGAAAATACAATAAGGCACATTATAATTATTTGCTGAAAGACGATGCTAAAGAGAAAATCTTAAAGGTATTCAGAGGGTTACAACTTCTCAGCAGAAATAATGCAAGCCAAATGACAATGAAACAACCTAACAGACATGATGAAAAGGAAAGATAAAAAAAAAGCTGGCAACCTGAAATTCTATGTCCAGCAAAAATATATTTTAAATATAAAAATAACGTAATATTCAAGACAAAAGCTGGGAGAATTCATCACTTTTATGTGTATACTATAAAAATATAAGTTTTTCACCTTAAGGGAAGTTTACCATTTTGAAACTCATATTTACATGACGAAATGAGTGCTTAAAATGCTAAACATGTTAAGTACATATAAAATATTTGTTCATGTTTTTAAATTTCATTAAAAGATAATTTAGTGCTTACAAACAGTAATGATGAATAACAGGGTTTATAATAAATGTGGAAGTCAGATATGCAACTACAATAGTACAAAGGATAGGAGTCTGGACAGGAAATATGTTATGCTGTGGTCTTAACTTTACATATGAGGTGGTATTACTTGAAAATAGCAAACCCTAGATCAAGGGTCAGCAAACATTTTCTGTAAAAGGTTAAATACTATGTATTTTTGGCTTTGTAGACCATACTACCTCTGTTAAAACTGCCAAATTCTATTATAGTATGAAGAGCAGTACATACACAAAAGAGTATGGCCATGTTATAATGAAGTGTTATTAACAAAAGCTTGTAGCTGGACAGAGGGTTGAAGTTTGTTGATCCCTGCCCAAGATTAATCTCTTAAAAAAAAATACAAATTTAAAATCTGTACCTTTCACTATATCGAAATCATATCTCACAAAACATTTGGAAAAATTTAAGTATCTAGTGTATGTGTTTGCATAGGTTATATGGGTGCTATCTATGGAATATATGTGCAAACGATGTAACTACTTCTCAGTTTCTATTATCATATAATTCACACTTTTACAAGAATATTTTTTCTATGATACAGTACTTAGCTGTAATTCCTCTTCAGGAATTTCCTGGGTTAAAAAGAGGCACATGTAGATGGTATACCTTCATGGGGTTGTGCAACTGCAACGACTGGTCAACCTGGGGCTATAAAAAGCCAGTACCCTGCCCCAACCTGTAGAAACTCTGAGGTGTCTTCACAGTCTCAGAGCTCCCTGCAGGGATTGGTCAAAGACTTCATTGAAACTGCATTTCACCTAAACTCCTCCCTGTAACTAATTTCTGTTTCATTCCTTTCTCTTCCACAGGTTTTCATCCCCAAAACACTCCTAATTAACTTCCTAGATGCTATTTTTCATCTCAGGATGTGTATCCTGGAGATTCTAGTCTGCAGTACCTCTTGGGACCACTTCCTGATAATCTGTTTACTAACAATGAGTTACTTATACCTGCTTTGTAGTGTGTTTTTTATATGTTATTTTTTTCCTATTGTAGTGTTAATATATAATATTCCTTATTGTCATATATCATTCATCTTCCTATTTTACCTAGAATTCCATAAAATTTTGAAAGAGCTGTAGGTTAATTTTGGGGACAACAATATACTCAGTTATTGTGGGGTAACAAATATATTTTCTTACCTGTTAGATATACAGTTCGAAACCTTGAAGAAATTTTATAGCCAATTTCATACAGAGTTCTATGTATTACCAAAAGCAACAGAGTGATTGAGTGAACTCAAGTCAACGAGCAATTAATACAATGAGGTAACAGGTGAGAAAATGTCTGATTGATTGGTGAAACTTAGACTATTTCCTCTGTTTTGCTAATGAATGCTCCAGAATAAATTTTCTTCAGTTACTTATTGTTTGCTGCATTCCAGTCTTTCAGCAAGCAAGCAACTAACATACAGCTGCTTAATCCCATTTATCTCATTACTTTTAGCAAAATAGAATTTATTGTTAACTTTAAGGAAAGCAAAAATCTAAAATCAGAAGAAATATAAGTCAAAATGTATTTCTTAGCAGAAATATATGTGGAGAGAATACTGTAGTGATTAACCTCAAGGGGAGGGCAAAAGTCAGTCTTTCATGAGGAACATGGTGGAAAGATCGATGAAAAGTTCCCTTTTTCTCTTTGGTCTATCAAGCAATGCAATTCGGGGAAGTTTATTACTTTGTTTACTTGGCTTGTGAAATGTGTAACCTCTATTGATCCGAGGATTAATAATGATACCTCTTTCATCACAACCACCTCTGGAATGTGGTATATAAGAGGGCAAAAAAGTTCCCAATGTATTGTAGCAGCTCAAAGAAAGTGGTTGGACGTCAAAGAGGAGTTAGAAGAAGTGGAGATGCTGAACAGTCATAAACTCTTAGTTCCTAAGAAGAACACTTGCCTAGAGATAATAGTGCCTAAAACATCTAGCAAATAACTAGTGTATTGTTGAAGTAACTTGAAAGATGTATACTTGTTATGGAACTCTTGCTAGTCTCGAAACAATAAGAATGCTGTTTCTTCATTCCCCTTCTCTCTCTTCTTCTGTGCTCTCTCTTCCCTTTCCCACCCCTCCCATCCTCCATCTGTCTTTCCTTCCTCACTCTTCTCTTTATTCTCACACATACACAGATATTCCTCCCCCTGTGTATTTGCGTGTGTGTAGTATATGGTGTGAGCACACGTATGCTGTAAAGATATACAGTGTTTGTATTCTACGTGTCCATTCTATGTGGGCTCCTAGAGTGATCCATTACAATAGAGAATCTGAATAATTGAAGAAACTAGTACTCTGGACTAATATGAGTTATTTTTGCTTTGTAATTTGTAATTCAGTAAGTCAGACAAAAGAGGAATTTAGTGGGTGGTTTAGAGAGGCCATGGAGTTTCTGTTGTAGTGATAAATGGCTCCTGAAGAAACGCGGCACTCAAGTTGGTGGTTTTAACACCACCAGAGACTATATGCCTGGATTCTAATTTAGCAAAAATACAAGGTGAAAAAAAAATTCAATTAGGGTTAGAACTACCTTTAATAACTGGCTGAGAAATAAGTATCAGCTGAAAAAAATAAATTGAAAAGGAGACTCCAGGCAAAATTGCATTATGAGTTCAGGCTTTGAGACCCCCTTCTGCTTCAAATACACTGTATTTTTAGATAAGATAGATAAGAAGAAAATTGAAAAGACATAGCCAGGATCAAAAAATAAGATAAACATCTCTATGCACAAGAAATGCAACAAACATGCAAAGCAATGAGTGGGGCTGAAGCCGAGGCCAGACAGAGTCCGGATCTGGGGACATACAAAGGCATTTGGGCATTTGACTACTACGGAATATTGGTAATGTAAGTTCCCTGTGTGTATCAGCTACAGAAAGCTTGCTTTAAGGTTGCAAACCGAGACTGGCCCTCGGCTAACCTGGTTGTGAAAAGAGACTGAAGAAAGCTGATTACTCACTTAAACATATGGATTATATGAGGCTGTATGCCCAAAGAGGTTAGCAAATAGGCATATCTGAGCTGAGTAAAGGCATTCACTGGCTTGGTGACTAGACACATGAT
Source organism: Homo sapiens (assembly GCF_000001405.40). Lineage (NCBI taxonomy): Eukaryota > Metazoa > Chordata > Mammalia > Primates > Hominidae > Homo > Homo sapiens. Next base: position 146,833,527 of record NC_000007.14, on the reverse strand, counting down.
TCCCTAAAAACACTGCCAGGCACAGGCATCGGGCGAGTAATGTAAGGTACACTTTCAGACTGGACATTCTGGGACTTGAGTAGAGAAAGTCCCAAAATGATAAAGCACAAAAAACAGGGGAGATGAGAGGAGATAGGAAGAGAGAAGAAAGAGAAAGAGAGACCAGAAAGAGAGAGACTGGCTGTCAAGAAGAACATGCAAATGAAAATTTCAAATGACAGGAATGAAATCCAATGCCACGAAGTCAACAAAGTCAAAAGTTCAACACCAATTAGTTCCATAAGTAATAGCAATTGAGGGCTAGTGGAGATAAATAGGCTTTATCCTCTCAAAAATATAAAATAGGTAATGCTATTCATTAAAAATAGCAGTAATTATCAGTTACAACAGGGAAAAATAAAACATTTATAGATGGATACTAAAAGAAACTATGAAGTAGTTTTAGAAATGCAAAAGTTGGTTGATAGGAAAATAAACTCATCTGAGGAAAGGCTACCAATTATATATAATCTAAGAAATAATTAGTGAGCTAAGCTGGGCATGGTAGCTCACACCTGTAATCCCAGCAGTTTGGGAGGCCGAGGCGGGTGGATCACTTGAGGTCAAGAGTTCGAGATCAGCCTAACATGGTGCAACCCCATCTCTACTAAAAAAATATACAAAAATTTGCCAGGCGTGGTGGCGGGTGCCCGTAATCCCAGCTAGTAGGGAGGCTGAGGCAGGAGAATCGCTTGAACCCAGGAGGCAGAGGTTGCAGTGAGCTGAGATTGCACCACTGTACTCCAGCCTGAAAAGAAATAATTAGTGAGCTAAAAGGTAATATTTCCATGTTGACATATATATATATACACACACACGTACATATTTATAAATTATACAGTGTATATATTCATATAAATTTATAATATATAAAATATAATATATAATAAATATATTGAAGTTAATATTAATATATTAGATTAAATATCTAAACATAGTATAATGTATATTGATATATATTAATATGTACATATATAAAATTTACCACTATATATAAATTATACTTTATATAAATATATATGTTAATGTATATCAATTATACATCAGTAAACCTGTTAAAATTTGCAGTAGTTAAAAGATATTGGGGATAAATTGGAAGTTTCTAGGGTAAGTCTAAGAGAAGTTCTAGACTAAGACCAATGCACAGAATATAAACATTTGAAAAACTAATTTTTATTCAAAACTAAAAAAGACATGACACCATGAATTTTAAGACCTTCTGAACATTGAAAATAATATGTAACATGAGTTTAAGCCTATAATGGAGAATTATCTAATTGATACAAAAACAGTAACAGGCATCTTAATAAGTGCTAAAATGAACTCGTTAATGAGCTCAGATTTTATTTGCAGTGGGGGATAAACATCTGCAAGGAGGTCATGTGATCTATGAGAAGTGGATAAACAGGCTTCAACCAAGTGCAGATATTTGTTGATTAGAGTAGCCAGGGAAGAGGGCTATATCCATTAATCAACATCTGTTATAAACTAGAGTAGGAAAATTGGCAGTGGCCCAATCATTCCTAAAATATCGATAAATTAATACTTATATAAATAAGGTTCAAACAAAAGAGCTTGAAAGCTATTTTTTAAGCAAAACAGAAGAAAGAAGATATAATACTATCAGATATTATTTAATGACAGGAAAATAGTACTGTTTGTCACCCATTTCTACCAACAAAGACAACAGTTTCAAATAATTCTAGAAGTAGCAAAACTACTAACTGAGTATAGACAAATACCTCCTCAGACAAGCTAAGACATAATAAGACAGACAAAGTGGCTTTAACTTTTTTTTTTTTTTTTTTTTTTTTTTTTTGGCGTCTTGCTCTGTCGCCAGGCTGGAGTGCAGTGGCGAGATCCTGGCTCACTGCAACCTCCGCCTCCTGGGTTCAAGCGATTCTCCTGCCTCAGCCTCCCAAGTAGCTGGGATTACAGGCACATGCCACCATGCCCAGTTAATTTTTGTATTTTTAGTAGAGACACGGTTTCACCATGTTGACTAAGCTGGTCTCGATCTCTCGACCTCATGATCCGCCCACCTCGGCTTCCCAAAGTGCAGAGATTACAGGCTGAGCCACCACGCCTGGCCTGTTCCTTTAACTTTTTGAAGCATTCGAATTCAGATTATAACCCCAAGGACTGGCATTATCCATAAATGTAATCTTAGCTTTCTTGAATATTTATTAAAGGAGCTGCCAAAAAAAGAAAGATAGTCAAAAACTAAAAACCATAAAAACCATAAATTTTAAAAACAGTGAAGTTGGTACATCTGGGAAAAATAACAAGAGAGATCCTCTTTAAAGTCTAGCATGTGAGTTGTAAATATTTAGGAAAAAGATGAATGGGGTCTGGTGATAGAGGAGGCAATAGTGGTAGGTTATAAGGATTTCCTTTTATAAAATTGAGTCCTTGTTTAATAGAACAGCATAAATTCCATAGATGTATCTTCAATTTTAATTATTGCAAAGCATTTGACAAAATATCTGGCAAATGTAAACTAGTAAAATGTGGGCTGGGAGATAACAGTTTTAGGTAGATTAAAAAATGGCTAGTTATCGTGCCCCAAATACGTTGATTAATGGTGATGTCAGCTTGAAGAGCGCTCTCTAATGATGTTCCACAGGCTTTCATCCTGTATACTGTCATTTTTAATATTTTTATTCTCTAAGGCATGAAAGACATGCTTATGAAATTTGCCAATTATATAAACCTGGAAAAGAAACCTAATAGGATAACAAACTGAATAATGATGTAAATGTTTTTCACTGGCTGGAAACCTGAACCTATACCAGTACAGTTTGTTTTAACATCAACAATAAACAAAGCTACTCATTTTGAAGAAACGCATTATCAATTTCATGATTAAAGGTATCTAATGCTTAGAAAGAATTATGTAACCTTACTTTATGAAATAATATACAGGGTTAAAATTATGACATCTAAGTAGAATATTATATTTACAATGTATTATTAGATATGTTTTTCATGCATTTTTATAAAGTCTTTACATATATATATATAAATGAACAAATTACAAACATATAAATAGCTAGTATCAGGAATTATCACACAATGAACATAACAGTGTAACAGCCACCCAGATCTATAAAGAAATCATTGCCAGCAATCCACAAGCTCTTCTTGTTTCCTTTTTCAAAAATCACCGTCCTTTTCCCCCACAATAAATTGTTCTAGAAGTGATTCTGCCCCACACCATACTCAAAAATCAAGGTCAAAACGTGTAGATCAAATTGTAAAAGTTTCTGGAAGAGAACATACAGCATCTTTTTGTGGTTGGGAAAGATTTTTTAAACAGGACTCAAAATGTACTAGCTAAACAGGAAAATATAAATTCGATTATAGTAAAATTAGACATCGATTATCAAAAGGCAGGAATCAGAGAGTTAAACGGCTAACTATAGATTGGGAGAAGATATTTCTAAACCTATAACAAAAATATTCATTTTTGTTAATGTATAAACAAGCCCCACAAATCAATAAGAAACAATCAGTAAACCTAATAAAAAATGGGTAAAAGACTTTAACAGGTAGTCCACAAAAGAAAAATTATAAGCTATAAAACATAGGACAAGGTATTCAATCTTATGAGATCAATCTTTTAAGAAAGATAATTTTAAAACTAAGGGTGTTCAAGAAGAATAACCAGAATGATGTGGAAACTCAATCTCGTAACATTGCTCTGAAGAGACTAAAGACGGTTAAGCTTTATAACAGAAAGTTAAAGAGTAAATTAAATTCCATCTTCCACTCTTCAAAAGAATAAACACGTAAGGTTTTCCAGTGATGCAACAATAACATCACACATTCTAAAAGTATACGTGCTTTTATGTCTACAGATTATTCAGCTCTAACTCATATTTTTAAAATTAATATTTTGCTTCAATTAAGTAAAAAAAAAATACTTTTCGACTTAACATTGTCAGTTGCATTTGTCTGTTCATAGCCTAATCATTTTACTACAAGTTCTTTCCATTCTGGAATTTAACCAAATAATAATACTGAATATTGAGCTGATTTTAACATATTTGAAACACTTTGCTGAGAAAACAAAAAGTTTCCTTATACAATATGTTTGTTCCTTCAATGGTTCTGCAGACTACACTAACAAAAGTTATTAGAACTTTTTTTTTTACAGTGCTGATAATATCCAGACATAAATGGCATTATGAAAATCATTAACCTTCTGGCAATTAGGCAAACAAAAGAAAATCTGTCTAGCTGAGGCTTCTGTTTATGTATTTCTTCACAGGAAAAGCAGAGTGTCAGTTGTGAGAAACAGACTTACAGCAAGTCATTTAGTTTCATGTATTTAAAAAATATGTAAATTATTTTCAGGGAATTTCACAACAATTATATTTTAAGATCTTTGATTTAAGGATGTTAATTTGTTTTTAAAATGTCAAATATTACCCTAAGATTATAAGAGACAAGAAAAATGAAAGCCAGACCCAAAAGCTAAACAGTTGCTTACAACTACGTAAAGCCTAGATAGTGGTGAAACTAATGTGAATGCAAATCCAAATTTGATTAAGTTCTTGCTCCACACAGAAGCCACAGTGATATACACAGAGGCTAGCCTGAGCCAGAGTGTAAAAACAAACATACCCTTATTTTACATTATTTTAAACACATTGTTTTACATTAGACATGTATACAAGTTTAATGTAAAATAGTGACAATTAGGTCTGATTAGAACATCTTGAACACTTACATGACCTGTAATTTGAAAGCTCACTTACTAAACAGTATAAATGATGTATAATCTTATTTTTTTAATGTCCTGAAAATACTGTGGCCAAGAGAAAATACACCTTTGTGTGTTATCTCAGGTAGTAGTATTTTTCTTTTTCTAAATTAAACTTTTTCTAAAAGGAACATGCAGGTAGTCAGATGTCAATGTAATATTTTTAAAGCATTAGGATAACTATTACCAACAATAGAATGGATTCCCATAAAAGTAATGAGCTCTTCACTACTGGAGATATTCAAATGAAAGCTAGTTATCAGAATTATTTTAGAAGAAAAACTTCCATAATTTGAGAGATTGGACTGCGTTCTTTATTTAAAATGTAAGTTAAAATGCAAGCTATTATGTTACAATCATTAGCAAAACTATCAAGTGGATTTTATTTCTTATTGGCTTATTTTCAGTTTTGCTTCATCTGTTTTATTAATATAGGGGGCATATTATTTACACCATTTATTTACACCATGTTATTTCAGCTAAGTAACACTTGACTGTATATAATTTTTATTGTTAATGAGTCTGGTCATTTCCTTATTTACTATAAATACCTCTCCTGGTTCATTCATTCAGCAAATATTTGTAGAGCACGTCTATATGCCAGCTACTCAGGGTTTCTTTTAGAATATTTTATAAGCAATTTTTATGATGTTTTTATACTTGAGAATCCAATTTATTCATTTAGAGAATGTACAAAAAATCTTTAAAGATTTTACCATATGGAAAACCAGATATGTCATATATTTTATTCACAGAAATGAAGTCTTATGTGTGAAAAATAAAGGCAATAAAAATAATATAATCTAGTCAAAGTCACTGAAGTCATGTTCGTCTTTGCAACTATTTGGAAGCTGCTGTGTAGTTCTCCCCTGTAAGGAAGACTGAGGAGCTTCATGTTGTATGTATTCCCTAGAATCTCTTTGTTCACTGCATTTCTAATTGAAATCAAGATCGAAGCCTTCATCAGTTGAAGGCAAATATCAATGTTGCAAAGAAAGGAAAAGTTATGTCAGTTTTCTGGGTGCAAATCTACTGCTTTACTTTGTATTTTTTCATCCCTGGCATGCATTCTTAGTAAAAGTCTGCAGAATTTTGGAAATAGCATAGTTAATTAGGCATAATTTCTTGGCTTCCCTAGCTAAGTGCCCATTCACTGGAATTGTCCAGAAAATGTCATCATTCTCAAGATGTTATTCTCTCTGATATAAAAAAAAAAAAAAGTAAAAACATTCTTGTCCACGCAGATCACAAGGAATATTACTCGGTGAAGATGCAGAAAGTAAGTATATAGACTACAAAATGCTTCAAAGCTCAAACATACAATAGTGATATAGGTTACCAAATTGCCCCTCTATTAGAGGGAAGATCAAAGAATGGATATCAATAAGAAAATCAGTTAAATCATGGAATTTGTAGCAAACCCTGAACAAGTACTAAGTAAACTCTTAGGATTGCCCATTGTTTTTAAGTCAAGAAATTATTTGTATTCATTATTTAATAACCACTGCCTAGCATGGTTCTCTGGACATAATAGGCACTCAATATCTACAAAATGAATATAAGAATAAAGTAAAAAATGAATATATTAATTAATTATATCCTGGAAATAACATCCCTGAAACAGGAGGGAAAATTCTTGGGTCCAGCTGCATACATATAAGAACGACAGAGATTATGTAAGGCAAATTGAATTGTAATTGAAAAAAATCTCCTTAATCATGTTAGTGGTTCTCATTGTATCTCCAGTAGAGCAGAATTAGACTTCTCCAGAGCAGTTACTGTATTTATTCTAGATTTTATTCTTGGCTTAATTTATTTTATGCAGATATTCTTACTCAAGTCTCTCTCTCTCTCTCTCTCTCTATATATATATATATATATATACATATATTCATTCATTCTTAAAAATTATTTGATTGTTTACATAAATAAAATCCTCATAAAATTAAGTCATTAACAATTATCTTGGAGAAATCCTTGGATTGTATTAAAACTCTAGCACTCAGAGTGGACCACACTAGGAAAGGAGTGTGGAATTCTGCTTAGAATTCTGTCTCAGTAAGTTTTACCGGGCTCCAGTTATCACTCATGCATTAGCACATCCCCTCCTGTGAACATTATCACAATCACTTCTCCACACATCAGGGAGCAATCAGCTTATGTGGGTCAGCAGAGTGAGTGGACAGGGTATTCTGATGAGCTGGGAATAAGAATGGACTTGCTTAGTTCCCCATGAGAGGTGGGGAATCTTGGCACAGGCCTGCTTCAAAGGGACCCGGGAAGCTGGCTGAGAGGATCCACAATTCAAAGTAGAAATGTTAAGAATTTAAATGGAACTGTTTACAGCAGGATATTCCTTTAACTCACATAGTGGCTTTTAGCTAAGTGGGTAACAATAAGTGAATTTAAAAATAGATTCTCAAATCCTAGTCTCTATCTAGCATTTTGTGCAAAAAACAGCTTTAGTTATTTATTACTGTTTCATTCACTTAAGAAAGAAAAGGGTCAGAGGTACATTTACAAAATGAAAATCTTCTAACTAGTAACTAAATATAGTTTATTGTTTATTAACCAAATAATTAGGGATGCAAATAACATCTCCATGCCATCTGCCTCAGGGACTCTTACTGAAGCTTCATTATTTTCTGGGGCAGAGGCTCAGCTCTAAAAGACATCACTGGAAAAAAATGCAGAATAGCAAAAAAGAAATGTACTTATTATCTGTGCATTAACAAAATCTATTATTAAACAGGCAATAATGTCAATGGTATATACAAATAGATGCAAAACAATGTGTACAAATTTGTCTGCCCTGTGTGCAGTGATATAATTTATATATGCCAATTTTTGATATACAATGTTGCATTCAATGATGCAAAATTGCCAGTGATCTGTGCAACAATATAAGGAAAATGTACTGTCTATACAATGATTTTGAAGCTAGGTCGACCACACATGAAAGGACAAAAAGATGAGGTCATGTTCAAGTAAAATCTCATGACAATTGAGACAGATATTGCTCTGACTTGCAGTAAGTGGAAAATTGCTTTGTATCTCCACTTTTCATATTTGTACACTTGGTCTCAGACTATGATATAGTAATTTCATATACTTGAAAACATAGGTTATAAAGACTTTATCTGCTTTAGTTCATTTTTGAGGAAGAAATACAAAGGAATTGTTCTCAAGATCAATATGGTTAAATATAGTAAACAAATTCTTTAAGATCTAACTCAAATGCCTTTTATGAGTGCTCTGATCTTCCCCAGGACTCATGCATAGTGAGTGATTCCCTTCTCTTTGGCTGGCACTTGCTACACACATTACTTATTCCAATCCTAACCCTAGTTCCTGGATGGCAAGAATGCAGTTCTCAAGTTCATTCTTACAATCCCTCTGATTCCTATGAAGGTGAATGGCACACATATCCAGCTACTTCAATGACTAACTACTGTAACTATCGTATCTGTTTTGATAAAGAGGGGAGATTTTTGGCATATGTATACTTGGCAACATGAAACAATTTCACCAAAAGCATTGTGGGTGTGTTTTGATATTAACTTAAAATGTGTGTAGCAGTCCCACTTCACAAGGCTCTGAATGAGAAACAACATTAACAACATTAGGATAAGTACACACACACACACAGGACAGATAAGCCTTGTAAATATAGTTGCTTTCAGTGCAATCTTCTGAAAGTGTTACATTCATAAACACAGAGATATCAATTCTTCATGTAAAGAATTTCTTTAATAGGCTTTTTTCCCCCATAGGGCAAGCTGAAACTGGTTGACATAGCAATGGGCTAAAATGACAATGTAGAGAAAATAATTGAAAATCAAATAAAAAAAAAAAAAACAGGTCCAAAATTCTTTGTACACCTTAATAAGGACAATAGCTTCTACTATCCTAAAAGTTTTCCCACATCTTTATGACCACCACATCACTAATTTTAATTCCCCAAAATAGAATTGCATTTCCTGTCTGAGCTTTAAGTAACATATTATAACAAAAAGCATACTGGACTAGAATCAAACCTAGTTATAAGATATTTTTGTCATATGAAAAAAAGCTCATGATCGCTGGTCATTAGAGAAATGAAAATCAAAACCACAGTGAGATCTCATCTCACACCAGTTAGAATGGCAATCATTAAAAAGTCAGGAAACAACAGATACTGAAGGGGATGTGGAGAAATAGGAATGTTTTCACACTGTTGGTAGGAGTGAAAATTAGTTCAACCATTGTGGAACACAGTGTGGCGATTCCTCAAGGATGCAGAACCAGAAATACCATTTGACCCAACAATCCCATTACTAGGTATAAACCCAAAGGATTATAAATCATTCTACTGTAAAGACACATGCACACATATGTTTGTTACAACACTATTTATGATAGCAAAGACTTGGATCCAACCCAAATGCCCATCAATGATAGACTGAATAAAGAAAATGTGTCACATATACATTTTTGGAATACTATGCAGCCATAAAAAAGAATGAGTTCATGTCCTTTGCAGGGACATGGATAAAGCCAGAAACCATCACTCTCAGCAAACTAACACAGGAACAGAAAACCAAACACCACATGTTCTCACTCATAAGTGGGAGCTGAAAAATGAGAACAGATGGACACAGGAAGGGGAACATCACACACCAGGGCCTGTCAGGGGTTGGAGGGCTGGGGGAGGGAGAGCATTAGGAGAAATACCTAATGCATGTGGGGCTTAAAACCCAGATGACATATTAATTGGTGCAGCAAACCACCATGGCACATGTACCTATGTAATAAACCTGCATGTTCTGCACATGTATCCCAGAACTTAAGGTAAAATTTAAAAAAATATATGTCTGTGTGACATTATAGAATACGGGGTCCAAGTTATAAATCTCAACATTTTGATTCAGCCATAAAAAAATGGGAAGAAAACATGTCATAGTTTTTGAAATTATTATTAGAAACCTAATTAGAAGATATAATACTGACTCAACTATTTAAATATACTGAAGAATGAGTATACTCATATTTAAATATACTGAAGAATGAGTATACTCATATTTAAATATACTGAAGAATGAGTATATTTCCATGTAAATATACTGAAGAATGAGTATATTTCCATGTAAATATACTGAAGAATGGTATATTTCCATGTAAATATACTGAAGAATGAGTATATTTCCATGTAAATATACTGAAGAATGAGTATATTTCCATGTAAATATACTGAAGAATGAGTATATTTCCATGTAAATATACTGAAGAATGAGTATATTTCCATGGAAATATACTGAAGAATGAGTATATTTACATGGAAATATACTGAAGAATGAGTATATTTACATGGAAATATACTGAAGAATGAGTATATTTACATGGAAATATACTGAAGAATGAGTATATTTACATGTAATTATACTGAAGAATGAGTATATTTACATGTAATTATACTGAAGAATGAGTATATTTACATTTAAATATACTGAAGAATGAGTATACTCATATTTAAATATACTGAAGAATGAGTATATTTCCATGTAAATATGCTGAAGAATGAGTATATTTCCATGTAAATATGCTGAAGAATGAGTATATTTCCATGTAAATATGCTGAAGAATGAGTATATTTCCATGTAAATATGCTGAAGAATGAGTATATTTCCATGTAAATATGCTGAAGAATGAGTATATTTCCATGTAAATATGCTGAAGAATGAGTATATTTCCATGTAAATATGCTGAAGAATGAGTATATTTCCATGTAAATATGCTGAAGAATGAGTATATTTCCATGTAAATATGCTGAAGAATGAGTATATTTCCATGTAAATATGCTGAAGAATGAGTATATTTACATTTAAATATGCTGAAGAACGAGTATATTTATATTTAAATATGCTGAAGAATGAGTATATTTATATTTAAATATGCTGAAGAATGAGTATATTTATAAATATTCTTAAGTATACACTTAAATATATATACTTAAGTATATATATTTAAGTGTATACTTAAGAATATTTATATATAAATATGCTTAAGAATAAGTATATTTATATTTAAATATTTATTAGTATTTTGATAAGTAATGTTTTCACTCTTTCGTTAACCATCTAATTCACAAAAGGTCTCATTAGAAAATACTTAATACTCAGACACTGTAGGAACAAAACAACGAGCATTATTAAAAACAGGGGAAGGTGGGACAAATGTCTGAGTTTTTTTTTTTTAAATTTTTGTATTATTATTACACTTTAAGTTTGAAGGTACATGTGAACAATGTGCAGGTTTGTTACATATGTATACATGTGCCATGTTGGTGTGCTGCACCCATTAACTCGTCATTTAGCATTAGGTATATCTCCTAATGCTATCACTCCCCCCTGCCCCCACGCCACAACAGGCCCCAGAGTGTGATGTTCCCCTTCCTGTGTCCATGTGATCTCATTGTTCAATTCCCACATATGAGTGAGAACATGTGGTGTTGGGTTTTTTGTCCTTGCGATAGTTTGCTGAGAATGATGGTTTCCAGTTTCATCCATGTCCCTACAAAGGACATGAACTCATCATTTTTATGGCTGCATAGTATTCCATAGTGTATATGTGCCACATTTTCTTAATCCAGTCTATCGTTGCTGGACATTTGGGTTGGTTCCAAGTCTTTGCTACTGTGAATAGTGCCGCAATAAACATACGTGTGCATGTGTCTTTATAGCAGCATGATTTATAATCCTTTGGGTATATACCCAGTAATGGGATGGCTGGGTCAAATGGTATTTCTAGTTCTAGATCCCTGAGGAATCGCCACACTGACTTCCACAATGGTTGAACTAGTTTACAGTCCCACCAACAGTGTAAAAGTGTTCCTATTTCTCCACATCCTCTCCAGCACCTGTTTTTTCCTGACTTTTTAATGATTGCCATTCTAACTGGTGTGAGATGGTATCTCATTGTGGTTTTGATTTGCATTTCTCTGATGGCCAGTGATGATGAGCATTTTTTCATGTGTTTTTTGGCTGCCTAAATGTCTTCTTTTGAGAAGTGTCTGTTCACATCCTTCGCCCACTTTTTGATGGGGTTGTTTGTTTTTTTCTTGTAAATTTGTTGGAGTTCATTGTAGATTCTGGATATTAGCCCTTTGTCAGATGAGTAGGTTGCGAACATTTTCTCCCATTTCGTAGGTTGCCTGTTCACTCTGATGGTAGTTTCTTTTGCTGTGCAGAAGCTCCAACATTCAACATTCTTAAAGAAAAGAATTTTCAACCCAGAATTTCATATCCAGCCAAACTAAGCTTCATAAGTGAAGGAGAAATAAAATACTTTACAGACAAGCAAATGCTGAGAGATTTTGTCACCACCAGGCCTGCCCTAAAAGAGCTCCTGAAGGAAGCACTAAGCATAGAAAGGAACAACTGGTACCAGCCACTGCAAAAACATGCCAAAATGTAAAGACCATCAAGGCTAGGAAGAAACTGCATCAACTAACGAGCAAAATAACCAGCTAACATCATAATGACAGGACCAAATTCACACATAACAATATTAACTTTAAATGTAAATGGGGTAAATGCTCCAATTAAAAGACACAGACTGGCAAATTGGATAAAGAGTCAAGACCCATCAGTGTGCTGTATTCAGGAAACCCATCTCACGTGCAGACACACACATAGGCTCAAAATAAAGGGATGGAGGAAGATCTACCAAGCAAATGGAAAACAAGAAAAGGCAGGGGTTGCAATCCTAGTCTCTGATAAAACAGACTTTAAACCAACAAAGATCAAAAGAGACAAAGAAGGCCATTACATAATGGTAAAGGGATCAATTCAACAAGAAGAGCTAACTATTCTAAATATATATGCACCCAATACAGGAGCACCCAGATTCATAAAGGAAGTCCTTAGTGACCTACAGAGACTGAGACTCCCACACAATAATAATGGGAGACTTTAACACCCCACTGTCAACATTAGACAGATCAGCGAGACACAAAGTTAACAAGGATACCCAGGAATTGAACTCAGCTCTGCACCAAGCAGACCTAATAGACATCTACAGAACTCTCCACCCCAAATCAACAGAATATACATTCTTTTCAGCACCACACCACACCTACTCCAAAATTGACCACATAGTTGGAAGTAAAGCACTCCTCAGCAAATGTAAAAGAACAGAAATTATAACAAACTGTCTCTCAGACCACAGTGCAATCAAACTAGAACTCAGGACTAAGAAACTCACTCAAAACCGCTCAACTACATGGAAACTGACAAATGTCTGAGGTTTTAAAAGTCTGTATGTTTTGTCTATTTTTTCCATTTTCCTTTATATTTACTTATATATACTACAGGAACAAGAGATTAAATATTCAATTGCTAACTATATAATTTTTTTATTAATTCCTCAAAACATAATATTAACTTTGTGATAGCTACAGTGCTTATAAAATTTATTTTTATAGGACAGTGAATTTTCCTACTTGAAGCTATAAATGAACACCTGCTTTGCATTAACTAATTTACCACTCTGAAAAAACATAAAACTCACCAGTCTTAGGGTCCCTGACCAAATATTATGTACACTGTACATGTTCTTTTAATTCAGAAAGCATGAGATGCTCTACATACCTCAATGAGCACTGCTCGAAATATCTATTTAGCATCTTCTGATCAAATTACAATGTAAACATTGTTTTATTTGGTGAAGAAAATACCACTATAACTGCTACATCAAGAATAAGTTGTATGGATATTCCAACAATAACAGGGAAAAGTAAAAATAGTGAGTGAGTTGGCCTGAGGTGGATGTATCAAGAAGTGGATATATGAGAGTATTCTCAGAACATCCTGACAGCCTGTATTTCAGGGTGAGAGCTCCTGGCGACTATGGCAAGTGAAAAGAAGGAATCAAGGCTGACTTCTAGACATTCTGAGTTGAGAAACTTGAAGTGAGTTAGTAGCAATTCCTGAAACGGAAAAAAACGATTAGAGAAAGAGATTTGGGGATGAAAATTAGGAGCTGTGTTTTAGTCTTAACTTGAGGTGTCAAGTTCCCATATCGGTTTTAAAGATGAGTTTGGGTCTCAGGAAGATGAAATTAAGACATAAATTTAGGAGTCATCAGTAGCTGAATGGTATTGAAAGATGAGATTAGATGGGATGATCTAGTGAAAGAAGTGCTGTCCAAGACTTGATGGGACGTGCCAATGTCTAATAACTATTTAGAGGAAAAAGAAAAGGAATGCCAAGTGAGAGAGAAAGAAAACTGTGAGAGTGTGTGGCATTGTGGTAGCCAAGGAGAAAAGTTTTCTAGATGGAGGAAGTGGTCACTGTATCATTTTGTGAGATAATGTGGCAACACACTCTTTTCAAGTAAAAATAGAATAATGTCTTTGATTCACAAACTCCAATTTCCCAGTCATGGAATCTGCATTACTATAGAAATAACTACCATTGTCATCACTTCCCTTAAATGAGGAAATAATGTGCACCAATATGTTCATTGCTTCCATCTACCACTATTCATAATCAACTACAACTGGAAACTTTTAAATTTTCATCAGTAAGGGAAAGTTGGGTAACTTGAGATAGAATGATCATATAGAATACTTTATAGCTGATATAAATAATATGTATTATTTTCAAATTATTTTTAAAAAGCAGAATATGAATCTGAATATACATTGATTAAAAGTAGGTAAAATTATAAATAATATGATTCAGGATTGGTATAGAATAAAACTCCACATTTTTTGTATTATATTTATCATTATTTAAAAATTTACCTACCTTAATGAATATCACTGTGGTTTTTACTTTTTAAATGTTAAGTAGTGATGTTAAATATTTTACATACATACACTAATAATAAAATTATTAACTGAATAATCTCTTTTTAGCTTTTGTGATATCGTTTTTCTTATCCAATTTGTGAGCTTTTTAAATATCAAGAATGCTAATCCTTAGTCATTATTCCCATAAAATACTTGTAACAAAAGTTTTCATTTAGTGGTCACATGTCATAATACACTTAAATGTTACATTTATCAAATTTCCTATTTTACACATGCTAAAAACAAAATCTTCCAGAGTTTAGGTGACTTGCCCAGGCCACAGAGAGCTAGTAACAGAAATCAGTTTGAGTTCTGATGAGTCCGATTCCGCATCGTGTGCTTTCTTTTTCCATGGAGGTATTTAAAACAAAAGACCCCTAAAGGTTGCAAACACTTGACAATACCAATCTTAAGTTATTGTCAAATGTGGTTTTATTTCATGGAGAGACATGGAAAAAATATGCTAAACAGAAAGGAGTATGCAAAATACTTTGGCCTTCTTAGGAAACCAAAAGTAAGATGATTCTATAAACTACTTAACAGGCAAATTGAATCCCGTTAAAAATTAATGAAGTGCCACTAGTTTAATACTGAAACAAAGGCTAAAATCGTCATGCACCATTTTAACAGTCTCTTGATATTATTTGAATTTGGGGTTAAAGATGAATCATTCTCACCATCCATTAGTAGAGAACTTGCCAATTCATAAACCTATTAAAACTCTCTATTGGTACAAGAATCAATAGAATCTTTAAAGTTAATAGAAAAGAAAGAAAATTTGAGAAAAAACACTATAAACAAATGAGGAAAAATATAAAGTACAGAAACCCTTAACCACACTACTAGTATTTATTTAACTCTAAATATTCATGCCAATTAAAAAATGTTTTATATGGAAGTGACACAGAATAATAACTTACTTTTCAATCAATATCTTATATTCTTTTTTTAACAAATTTCTAGTTGGCTTATTTTTTCTGATTTCAGTTTTTAATCTTTAAATTTTAGTATTTGATATGGTTTTAATCTTTGTCCCACCAAATCTCATGTCGACTTGTAATCCGCAATGTTGGAGGTGAAGCCTGGTGAGAGGTGATTGGATCATGGGGGTGGTTTTTCATTAATGGTTTAGCACCATCCTCTTGGTGCTGTTCTCATCATGATGAGGGAGTTCTCACGAGATCTGGTTGTTTAAAAGTGAGTAGCATCTCCCTGCCCTTCCTCTTGCTCTTGTTCCTGCCAAATAAGACGTGTCAGCTCCCTCTTTGTCTTCTTCCATGATTGTAAGTGTCCTGAAGCCTCTTTGGAAGCTGAGCAGATGCCAGCATCATGCTTTCTGTACAGCCTACAGAACCATGGCCAATAAAACCTCTTTTTATTTTATATAAATTACCCAGTTTCAGATTTTTTTTTTTTTTGATGGAGTTTCGCTCATGTTGCCCAAGCTGGAGTGCAGTGGCACGATCTCGGCTCACTGCAACTTCCGCCTCCCGGGTTCAAGCAATTCTCCTGCCTCAGCCTCCTGAGTAGCTGGGATTACAGGCATGTGCCACCAACCTGGCTAATTTTTTGTTTTTTTAGTAGAAGCAGGGTTTCTCCATGTTAGCCAGGCTGGTCTTGAACTCCTGGCCTCACGTGATCTGCCTGCCTCAGTCTCCCAAAGTGCTGGGATTACAGGGGTGAGTCACCGCACCTGGCCCAGGTATTTCTTTATAGCAGTGTGAGAACAGTCTAATACAGTATTTGACACTGTTTATGTAACAGGGTTTTCCTTTCTATTCTATACTATCTGGGGATCAGAGACACTGTGTTATCCTGGTCGTCCATCAACTCTAACCATTTATTTTCTGTGAGATTTTCATCCTGCCTTTCCCCTCTCAATTTTGGTATTTTCCAAGTTTGTTTTTCTCCAGACCTGAATTAAATGATTTTAAAGTAACAGCTTTTATTGGGAACTTATTATCTATGATATTTTCCTCAGGTAAACTCAGCTAATCCTTGAAACAGCTGTAGGAGACAAGTGCTATTGCACATGTTTTATACAATTAAAGAAACTTAAGCATAGACAGGTTGGGTAAGTTGCCACAGATCACATGGATAGTAAGAAAAGCAGCTAGTATGTTGACCCAGGGCATGACTTTTAACCACCGTGCTTTACTGCCTGCCAGTTAGCAACTACAAAGCTTCTAACATGTGTATAGCAAGCAGTCTATCCTACTGTTTAAAAGCAAACCAACCAAACAAGAAACAAACTGACATGTTATTACTGATAACTCTATACTTTCCTTAGGTTAACATCTTTAGTGGTATACGCCCAAGTTCCAAAGTCTAGATACCCATTTACATTAAACTCCTATTACATTTTACAGTGTGTGCCCATTAGTTTCTCTTAGACTGTGGGATGGCCAACTGTTCCCGGCATGGGCAGTCAGTTGGTGAGGTCCTCGATTGGGAATACTTTCAGGCTGAGTTCCTTCTACTCTTTTTCTCTTGTTCTTGAAATGAAAAGTTCTCTCCACCGAATCCTCTTCCAATCTGGACCCTCAGGGCATTTCTTCTCTGCCTCCTCTCTACCTTTCCCTTCATCCCAGGCACACTATCCTCATAATGATGCATCTGTGACTATCAGACTCACATTGAAGTGCTATAACTTCTCTGAATCTTTGAGCACATACCATGAGTACCAGACATATAAAAAGTACTTGGAACCAACCCAAATGTCTATCAATGATAGACTGGATTAAGAAAACGTGGCACATATACACCATGGAATACTATGCAGCCATAAAAAAGGATGAGTTAAAGTCCTTTGTAGAGACATGGATGAAGCTGGCAACTATCATTCTGAGCAAACTATCACAAGGACAGAAAACCAAACACCACATGTTCTCACTCATAGGTGGGAATTGAACAATGAGAACACTTGGACACAGGGCGGGGATCATCATGCACATCAGGGCCCGTTGTGGGGTTGGGGGAGCAGAGAGGGATATCATTAAGAGAAATACCTAATGTAAATGACGAGTTGATGGGTGCAGCACACCAACATGGCACATGTATACATATGTAACAAACCTGCACGTTGTGCACATCTACCCTAGAACTTAAAGTATAATAAAAAAAAAGTGCTCTATATCCTTTACTACATTTAATCTTCAAAACGTGCACAGGGAAGCACAGGGAACTTGCTAATATATATCATAAAGTAAAATTATTTAATAAATCTATGAAATATTTACTAAGTACTCAATTTGTGAATACAATAAGTTTCCTCACTCCATATTCTACCCAATTAAAAAATATATATGGATGTGAATATATGTTTGTGTATGTGTACATATGTGTATGTGTCTATGAATATATTCACATGTATTCATGTATATATATAGACACACACACAATTTCTAAAGTTTCACCTTTACCAGATTTAGAGAATAATGTAATCATAGAGATCATTAAGTCAAATTACTATATTTTACAAAGAAATAAAATATAATCATTACGAATTTCAGTAAATTTCCAATATCACACAGTTATTTAGAGTCTAAAGTAAGATTAAACATCATACATATAAGCTAATATTTGTCTTCATTACAAATATATTAGATTTATGATTATATATATCTGTCATATAACTTATGTCTTCTACTGAATTATTGAAATTGTTGCTATTCAACAAATAAGCAATGTGGTATTGTTATTTGCTACTATCTTCTAACAGATTAACAAGGTAAGATTTTTAAAACTGCATTCAGCACTAATTCATGGTGAAAAGCATTTGCCATCTTCTAGACATGCTCTCAGAGGATATCAAAGTTAGTTATCATAAATAAACTCTAAATTGAAGAATTGAAGGTACATGTTCGATAACTGAAAAATAAGAGTTAATTTTTCAAAACATAAAGGAAAATTATTTCTATTATTCATAAATTTTCTTTTCCTTTTCTCAATAACTATTATAAATCTCAGGAAATGTTACATTCGTGTCTTACTGATAAGTGGGTGTGTCATAATTTTTCCTATAACAAGGACTTAGGGGAATCAATTTGATCATACCAGAAATGACTGTAAGTTTTGTCTTGAAGCGGATATTGCATACCTAATACACTGTATTTGTATTTCTTTGGGGTGACTTTGGGGTATCAAAGTTAATGAGTATGGCTAAAGCTCATGCCCCGTAGCATCCAGACAGCCAGTCATGTCATCAACTTAACTTACTGGGTTTTCAGAATTCTTGGTGGTTCTACTGTAATTCGAACTGTTTAACAAATGTTATAGATTATTAGCAAAGAATATTAATTGTCTAGTTCTATAGCCAGTTTCCAAATGCTAAACTAATATGAGATCCAAACATTTGGTCTATAGTTTGCACTTCTTTTTTTATCTATTCTCTTATTTAGACAACCATGCCAAAAGGTTCTCTATATTATTGTTATCAATTTTATTTTTAGCATTTTTTCCATTAACTTAATATTTACAGTGTGATTGGCATTGAGCTAAACAGGTTATTTCCTTAATACTAAAACACAGCCCTAAAAAAGTAGATATTATGCTTACTTTAGAGACAAAGAGATTAATGATTGGAAAGGTCTAGTCATACTTCCAAAGGGGCTACCTCCAAGAAATGGCTAGGGAAGAAGCCTAGATTCAATTCCAGATCTGTTAGAAACTAAACTCTGGGCTCAAGAGACCATCAGTCTCATTCAAACTCAGTACAGCTGACTTTGATTTATTATCTATTTCATTTATATCTGGGTATATTCTGGGAAGAAGTTGTGTTAGTCAGTTCTTATGCTGCTATAAAGAACTGCCTGAGACTGGGTAATTAATAAAAGAAAGAGGTTTAATTGACTCACAGTTCTGCAGGGCTGAGAGGACCCAGGAAACTTACAATTATGATGGAAGGGGAAGTAAACACATCCTTCTTCACAAGGTGGAAGGAGAGAGAAGTGCCAAGCAAAGGGGAAAATGCCCTTCATAAAACCATCAGATCTCATGAGAACTCACTCACTACCATAAGAACAGCAGTGTGCAGGTAACCATCCCCATGATTCAATTACTTCCCACCGGGTCTCTCCCATGACACATGGGGATTATGGGAATTACAATTCAAGATGACATTTGGGTGGAGACAGAGCCAAACCATATCATTCCACTCTCCTTACCCCTCCAAAATCTCAAGTCCTCACATTTCGAAACACAATCATCCATTTCCAACAGTCTCCCAAAGTCTTAACTCATTCCAGCATTAACCCAAAAGTCCAAGTCTAACATCTCATCTGAGACAAGGCAAGTCCCTTCCACCTATAAGCCTGTAAAATCAAAAACAAGTTAGTTACTTTCTAGTTACAATGGAGGTACAGGCATTGGGTAAATACACCCATTCCAAGTGGGAGAGAAATTGGCCAAAACAAAGGGGCTATAGGCCCTATGCAACTCTGAAATCCAATAGGGCAGTCATTAAACCTTAAAATTCCAAAGTTATCTCCTTTGACTCCATGTCTCACATCTAGGTCACATTGATGCAAGAGTTGGGCTCCCACAACCTTCAGGAGCTCCGCCCCTGTGACTTTGCAGGGTATAGCCCTTCTGTTGGCTGCTTTCATAGGCTGGCATTGAGTGACTGTGGCTGTTGCAGGTGCCCAAAGCAAGCTGTCAGTGGATCCACCATTCTCTGGTCTAGAGGACAGTGGTCCTCTTCTCACAACTCCACTAGGCAGTGCCCCAGTGGGGACTCTGTGTGGGGGCTCTGACCCTACATTTTCCTTCCACACTGATCTGGCAGTGGTTCTTCATGACTGCTCCACCCCTGCAGCAAACTTCTGCCTAGACATCCAGGCATTTCCACACATCCTCTGAAATCTAGGCAGAGGTTCTCAAACCTCAGTTCTTGCCTTCTGTGCACCAACATTACCTGGAAGCCACCAAGGATTGGGATTTGCACTGTCTGAAGCTATGGCCTAAGGTGTACTTTGGCCCTTTTTAGCCATAGCTGGTGCTGAAGCAGCTGAGACATAGGGCACCATCTCCCGAGGCTGCACAGAGCAGGGGGACCCTGGGTCCAGTCCAGGAAACAATATTTCCCTTCTAGGCCTCTGGGTCTGTGATGGGAGGCACTGCCATGAAGGTCTCTGACATGTTCTAGATATATTTTCCCCATTGTCTTAGTGATTAACATTTGGCTCCATGTTACTTATGCAAATTTCTGTAGTGAGCCTGAATTTCTCCCTGGAAAACGGGTTTTTCTTTTCTATCACACTGTGGGGCTGCAAGTTTTCCAAACTTTTATGCTCTGCTTCCTTGAGAGCTTTGCCACTTAGAAATTTCTTCAGCAGTTAATGGGTGCAGCACACCAACATGGCACATGTATACATATGTAACAAACTGGCATGTTGTGCACATGTACCCTAGAACTTAAAGTATAAATATATATATATATATATTTTTTATATATATATACATATAAAAGAAATTTCTTCTGCCAGATACCCTAACTCATCTCTTTTAAGTTCAAAGTTCCAGAAATCTCTAGGGCAGGGGCAAAATGCGTCCAGTCTCTTTGCTAAAGCATAACAAGTGTCACCTTTGTTCTAGTTCCCAGCGAGTTCCTCATCTCCATCTGAGACCAACTCAACCTGGACTTTATTGTCCATATAACCGTCAGCATTTTGGTCAAAGCCATTCAACAAGCCTCTAGGAAGTTCTGAGCTTTCCCACATTTTCCTGTCTTCTTCTGAGCCCTCTAAACTGTTCCAAGCTCTGTCTGTTACCCAGTTCCAAAGTCGCTTCCACATTTTCAGGTATCTATACAGCAACACCCCATTCTCCCAGTACCAATTTACTGTATTAGTCCATTTTCATGCTGCCAATAAAGACATACCTGAGACTGGGTGATTTATAAAGGAAAGAGGTTTAATTGCCTCACAGTTCCACAAGGCTGAGGAGGCCTCAAGAAACTTACAATCATGGCAGAAGGGGAAACAACACATCCTTCTTCACAGGGCAGCAAGAGAGAGAAGACCAGCAAAGAGAAAAAAGCCTCTTGTAAAACCATCAGATCTCATGAGAACTCAGTCACTATCATGAGAACAGCAGCATGGGAGTAACCACCCCCAAAATTGAATTACCTCCCACTGGCTTCCTCCCACAACACATGAGGATTATGGAAACTACAATTTAAGATAGGATTTGGGTGCAGACACAGCTAAACCTTATCAGAAGTTTTCCTTGATAAAGGGGAAAAAGATTGGATAATAAGATAAAAACTAGAAATAAAGAAAAGCCTATAGAAAAGATCAATGAAACTGAGTTTTTTTGAAAACATAAACAAAATTTATATACCTTTAGCTAGACTAACAAAGAAAAAAAGACTAACAAAGTAAATAAAATTATAAATGAAAAAGAAAACATTACAACCGATACCACGGAAATACAAAGTATCATAAGAAATCACTATGAACTCTTATATGCCAACAAATTAGATAAGTTCAAAGAAACAGATAAATTCCTAGACATGAACAATATACCAAGATTGAATCATAAAGAAATAGGCTATTTGAGATCAATAACAAGTAAAGAGATTAAATCAGTAATTAAAACTTCCCATTAAAAACAAAGAAAGCCTAAAACACATGGCATCACTGGTGAATTTTATGAAGTATTTAAGAACAAACAATTAACACCAATTCTTCTCAAAATCTCCCCCCCAAAAATTGAGATGGGAACACTTCCAATGTAATTTTTCAAGGCCAGTAACGTTCATATCAAAGCCAGATAAGGATGCTACAAGAAAAGAAAATCACTGGCCAATACTTCTAATAAACACAGATGTAAAACTCCTCAACAAAACACTGAAAAAGTGAACTAAACAGTTCATTTAAAAGGTCTACACTGTGATCAACTGGAATTTATCCTTGAGATGCAAGGATGGTTCAACATATGCAAAACAGAAAGTGTGATATACTATATTAATAGAATGAAGGCTAAAAATCATATGATCATCTCAATAGATGCAACAAAGCATTTAACAAAATTAAAAGTTCTTTTATCATAAAAATTCTCAACAAAATAGTTGTAGAATGAATATACTTCAACATAACAAAGGCTATACATGGCAAACCTGCAGCTAACATTACTCTTAATGGTGAACAGCTTAATTCGTTTTCTCTAAGATTAAGAACAAGACAAAGGTGCACACTCTTGTCACTTCTATTCAACCTAGTATGGAAGTCCAAGTTAGAGCAGTTGGGTTTAAAAAAAAAACAGATAGAAAGCATCCTAATTGGAAAATAAGTTAAATAATCTCTGTGGAGGACATAATACCATATACAGAAAACCCTAAAGACTTTACCTTTTATAACTAGAAAACTAAATCAGTAAAGTTGCAGATACGAAATCTACATATAAAATCTACATAAACTAAGAAAATGTTCCCATGATAATAGCATCTAAACAATAAAATGCTCAGGAATAAATTTAACCTAGGAGGTGAAAGGTCCATACACTAAAAACTATAAGGTACAGATTAAATATTGAAGAAGCCCCAAATAAATGAAAATACCAAAGCAATCTTGAAAAAAAAAAAAAAAAGAAAGCTAGAGGAACCACACTTCCGAATTTCAAACTATGTTATAAAACTGTAGTAATCAAAAGAGCATGGTACTGGCATAGAATAGACACATAAACCAATGAAACAAAATACAGAGCACAGAAAAACACCCACCCATGCATTTCTGATCAACTACTCTTTGATAATGCCATTAATAATACACAATGAGGAAAAAGATGTCTCCACAATAAATGGGTTTGAAAAACTGGATATCCACATGCAAAAGAGTGAAATTGGCCCTCGTCTTATACCATATACAAAAATTAACTCCAAATGTATGAAAGACTTAAATGTAAGAGCTGAAATTGTAACACAACTAGGAAACAACTTAGGGGAAAAGCTTCTTGCCATTGGTCTTGGCAATGATTTTTTGGATAAGACACCAAAATCACAGGAAATAAAAGCAAAAATAAACAAGTGGGACTGTATCAAACTAAAAACTTCTGTACAGCAAAGGAAACAATCAACAAAATGAAAAGGCAACCTACGGAATGGAAGAAAATATTTTTAAACCTGATAAAGGGTTAATGTCTAGAATATATAAGGAACTCAATTACAAAACAATTTCTAAAAAGTGAAGACACATTTTCAAAGAAGACTTACAAATGGCCAGCAGAGACCAAGTGCAGTGGCTCAAGCCTATAATCCTAGTACCATGGGAGGCTGAGGCGGGCAAATCACTTGAGGTCAGGAGTTCGAGACCAGCCTGGCCAACATGGTAAAACCCCGTCTCTACTAAAAATACAAAAAAATCAGCCAGATGTGGTGGTGGGTGCCTGTAATCCCAGCTACCCTGGAGGCTGAGGAAAGAGAATCGCTTGAACCTGAGAGGTTGAGTTTGCAGTGAGCCGACACCGCACCACTGCACTCCAGCCTGGGTGACAGAGTGAGGCTCCATCTCAAAAACAAAACAAAACAAACAAATGAAAAACCAAATGGCCAGCAGATACATGAACAAGTGTTCAATATTGCTAATTATCAGAGAAATGCAAATCAAGACAATCACATTACACCTGTTAGAATGGCTATTATCAAAAGACAAGAAACAACAACGTTTGGGAGGCTGTAGAGAAAAGGGAATGCTTATACTCCTCTGTTGGTAGGAATTTAAACTGATACAATTATTATGGAAACCAGTTTGGAGATTCCTCAAAAAATTAAAAATAGAACTACTGTATGATCCAGCAGTCACACTTCTGGGTACAAATCTAAAAAAACTGAAATCAGTATGTTGAAGGGATATCTGCATTTTTATGCTTTTTGCAACATTATTCCCAATAGCCAAGATATGGAAACAACATAAGTGTCCATCAACAGGTGTATAGATAACAAAAATGTGACATGTATGCACACAAGCACAAACACATTCACACGCACTGTAATATTAGCCATAAAAAGAAGGAAATTCTGTCATTCGTGACAACGTGAATGAACTGGAGGGACATTTTATGAATATAAGCTTGATAAACAAAGAAAAATACTGTACAATCAATCTCACTTATAAGTGGAATCTAAAACTGTCAAAGTCATAGATGCAGAAAGTAGAATGATAGTTTCAAGGGGCTAGGAAAGTGGGGAGATGTTGGTCAAATCATGTATACTTCCAATTAGATTAACAAGTCTGAATCTAATGTACAGCATGAGTGGTAATGAATGTATTAACTTGATTTTGATAATCCTTGCAAACGTACATACAAATATCAAATCATTACATTGTACTCCTTGAGTATATTCAATTTTTGTTAATTACATATTTAAAAATTTTTAAAAATGTGATTCCTTCAGAAAAAGTTACAAAGTCAGAAGTGAGCAAAATCAGCACAATAGATGCAGAATCCTGGTATTGCAGGATTTTTGAAACACATTTTAAGTTTAGACTGATAAAACCATCTTAGTTGAAATATATTCTGGACACATTTTACAGTTTAGTTTACATTCTCTACAGTGCTCTCAATCAATGCACAGCATCTTGTTATATTGCATGAAATATAAATTACAAATATCTATTGAAGAATTATTTGAAACATATAATGCTATTGTCTTTGGGGTTTAATTTTGTATATTGTGAGGAGATGAAAATAAAGCCCTAAGGCAGAAACACAGTTGTATGCTTCAATGAATAAATTATATTAGAGAATGTGCTTGAGAGATGGCAAGAAACTTAAGACAGGCCGCTCATGTAATAAACTCAGTCTCCAGTGAAAAGTAACTAACTTTGTAGGCTGCAGCAGAAACATCCTATCAATAATTTTGCTATTTTCGAAGACATCTCTTATCATTTCTCCACAGTTAAAAACACAATTAAAACTTACTTTTCTAGTGGCCCACTATTATTAAGACCACTAGCAAATGTACTATGCCAGAGTGAAAAAATGTGATTCTTCAAGTCACAGATTCTTACTTACAAAGGAAGGAGTGGGCAGACAGCCATTACTCTGAAGTTAGAATAAAGTCTATGAGTGTTGGGAAGAACATACCTCATGAGACATATATATTTTTTTAGCAGCAACTAGAATCAGATAAAAAGGACTGAAAAGAAGAAAATACAGAGATGGAGAGACAAAGGAGAGAAGACTAAAGACAAGTAGAGGGAGGGAAAAGAGGTCATGGGAAGAGACCTGGAGGAGAGAAGGCTCAGCTGGTTCCAAAGCGTGGGTTAGGTAAGGAAAATTGACCTTGGTAAAATTCGGTTACATTGTCACCATGAGAGGTAATAATGATACTGCAAATGTAAATTGGCATAATATTTATAGATTTACTGATCAAATAATTTACATGTTCCTCTCTTTTTCTCAGTTTCATTTCCAGGTGCTCTCATCACCCCAAAAGTGGGCAAAGACTTTCATAAAGAATGTTTATTACAGCATCATAAAAAGTGACAAAATTGGAACCTATCTAAATATGTAACAAAGCTCATAATCTAGCAACAAGGAATTAGTTAAAAAATATATTATTAAAATATGTAAGACTATGGAATAATGCTTATAGAATTCCACATAAGACAATACCATTACAAATGAGAATATACAGTTAAACTGTAAGATTCTAATTTGATGTACAAAAATTTTAAAAATACGCTAAAATACTATCAATACCAGATTGTAAGATTATGAGTAATTTATTTCAGTTATTCAACTTGAATGTTTTATAATAAATGTGTACCATTTGTATAATTTTAATAGCTATAAAATATTAGCTCACAAAAGCTTTTTACATGTACTTAAAACTTGAGGAACTTTGTTTATTTATTCATTTTTTCATTTAAGGGGCAGTCTTATGTTGCTTTCGTTTGCCAAGCATTGTTCCAAACATTTTTAAAAATATTATCCAAATTAATCCTCATAAGAACTATATGAGGTAGGTCCTAGTATTATACCACTTTTACAGATAAAACAGAAACACACACAGAGAGACTAAGTCATTCAGGTTACACTCCATCATGTGGTGGAGTTGGGCCTTTAAATCAGAAAGTCTAACTGAGAATCTGTGTCTCTAGCACTGTTTTCTCCTACTCTGTTCTGATTGGACCAGATGAAGGGCATTTTAAGGACATTAATTTGAAAGACTTACTTTTCATGGCAGAATACCAACTCTCTATAGATTAGATAAAATCAAACTTGAGAACTGGATCCTGCTCCCAGAGAAGTGGTTCCTCATTCCTGCTCTACAGGTATTTGATAAATAGGCAAATTAAGGTGAAAACAGAGAGTAAATCCTGAGGTTCTACACATTTGTGTTCATCAAGATAGGATGGTACCCGATTTTCTTTCTTTCTTTTTTTTTTTTGATGGAATTTTGCTCTTGTTGCCTAAGCTGGAGTGCAATGGTGCAATCTTGGCTCACTGCAACCCCCGCCTCCTGGGTTCAAGTGATTCTCCTGCCTCAGCCTCCCAAGTAGCTGGGATTACAGGCACATGCCACCATGCCCAGCTATTTTTTTTTTTTTGTATTTAGTAGAGACAGGGTTTCACAATGTTGATCAGGTTGGTCTTGAACTCCTGACCTTGGTGATCCACCCACCTCAGCTGCCCAAAGTGCTGGGATTACAGGCATGAGCCACTGTAACTGTCCTCAGTTTTCATTGCAAATATATAACTGAAACATTTACCTACCCTAGAGACACAAAGAATTACCTTACTGTAACAACTATTGTGGGATACATAATTAGTGTTTTACCTATGACCATTAAAGCTTTTGACAAGCATTTGTACTATCATGGAGCAGCAAGGAGTGATGAGAAATCACCTAATTTACAATGGCATGCTACTAAATGAGATTGACCTATCTTGTGTCGACAATGACTTAATTCCTGACTTAACAGAACCTCAAACTGTGAAAACATGCAGCTTTAATTATTCTGGCCAGCTATGGTTTCTTTAAAAAAAATTGACTTCTGGTCTTTATTATTCACATAGTTAAATATTGCTGCCTGGCTAGTCTCTGTTAATAATAGGAAGACTAATACAACAGTTCAAATAAATATAAACTTTTTTCATTGTGCAAACTTTCTACAACTGCTCTCCTTTTTTCAGAAGGAGCAAACTAACTTGCTTTGGACAACTCTTCCAACTAGTTACGGTGTGGCTGCCAGTCACAGAACCTTCCCTTATGACACAGAGATTAATATTATAGACATGGAGTAGAGAGTGGTAGACTTGACCCAAGTGGGGCAAATTAACATCCATCCCTCCCTCTTGCTGTTCCTTCCTTCTTTCCTCTTTCATTCTGCTACTTTACTTCTCTATAATAAACAATTACTTCTTCTTGAGAATTGGATCCTGCTCCCAGGCTAGTGGTTCCTCATCCCTGCTCTCTACATATTTAATAAATAAGCAAATTAAGGTGAAAACAGAGAGCAAATCCTGAGGCTTTACACATTTGTAACCCACCAATCCCAAGTGATGAGTCACAATTCAACTATCAATTTTATAGAGGCCTACCCTATGCCTAATGATTTATGTATTTATAAGTTTACATCAGCTATTTCTCCATGTTTCATCATCTTGAGGGTTCAGAATTCAAGGAATGCGGGCCATGTAAGCACTGTCAGTATGCTATGATCCAGTTTGAGATTTCAGTGGCCATATGGTCTCTCTGATGCTGATACCTGGCTCATATCTTCCTTGTCCTCTCCTTAAGACCCCAAACACTATGATTCCTTTCTTTACTGAGATGGGCCAGAAAAATCTGCCACAAACCCAATGGCCACTATGCCCAAAGTCTCCACTTTTGCCTCTTGTTCGCCTCCTGTGCTTTCAGAGCAACTAAAATAAATGTTTGAGCCAGTAGGTGGTACAAGTACTATCAAAGATCCAAGAGAGAATTCTGAAATGAAAAGGTATGAGAATTAAGAGGAGGACAATGAGGACTTGCAGTATTGAAAGAAAGCCTCCCTGAACTTACTGGAGTACCACAGAAAGTGGATTATGATGATTGAGGTGGGAAGAGGAATACATCATTGAGACTGGGGCTTTGTGTGACTTTCACGCTACACAGCTGCTTTAGACCAGTTGAGTGTAGCTATTTCATGTTAATTAAACCTCTTTCTAAAATTATGCAGTAAGTGTAGTGAGAAGTGGTGTTTATAGGGCTCTTCAATAAGATTTATTTTTCCAAGAGCTGAAGGAGAATTAATACCAAGTGATATCTGCCATGTATATAAGTGTTTTTATATTTACTTATATTTATCCTCATACAACAAAGGATGTGATAGGACTAACATCTCATACTTTGAATATTTATAGCATTTTTGTTTCTTTTGCTATGTTAGTTTTCCATTCAAAAAGAAAATGTATTTATCTCTCCTTCCTAGGTGATGAAAATCCCTGGAGATCAAGTGTTGGATTTTACACATCCTCCCAAAACCAACCACAGAGTTTAGCAAGAAACATTCAATAAATATTTGTAGGTTTTAAATGATTTGGAATCCTGATGACAGAATAAATTTACATTTATAAATGAGCATGATCAATAAGCTTAAAGCAAAAATGTATTTCTATCAAATAAATCATTAGCATCTAAAGGTAATATCAGTCGGTTTTTGCTTTCGGTGGCTAAAAACACAATCATATGATTACAGTATCTCTTTTACAGAGGAGGGGAGCATCTTATCTTCTGTTCCCTCTTGCTTCCTTTGCCAGCCCATTTCTAAAACTGTGCCTGCATATATATAATCTGAAGATGTAGTCACAAGGTGTAGGCAGGTGTAGGCTACTTCTACGGATTTATCTCGGGGAAAACTGAACAATGCTGAAGTCCAAAGGTAGAATTTTTATCTGTAAATGAAAAACTGTTTCAAACTTTAGCCTCAAAGAATTAAACTTTCCTACCACCTATTTCTCATTCTAGCAATGAAGCACCTTTGAAATCAAAGGGAGCTCTACAAGGAGACAGGAAAACGGGATGAAGAAATTCAAAAGCTTTAAACTGCTTTCCAGCATTATTTGAAAATATGCAGCGCACATAAAACTATACCAAGACTTTCCTTGGAGCATACATTTTAACACACATCTGAATATTGTATCATGCATGCAGGGACACTGTTTCTAAATAATTCACTGCCACTTTTACAATTCTTTTAATATTTCATGATTATATCTTTAAAATTATATGCATCTATATTTCCAGGAAGTATAATCTACCAAGCTCCTGCTAGACTAATTCCTGGCACACACAGCTCCTCTTGTAGGCACAGATCGCTTCTGGTTACCTGCTTTTCATTTGTTTAATGCAAATTTATTGAGGGCCAACAATGTGTCATGGATTCAAAGATGAAAATGCACCATTGCTGTCATGATTGGCCCGTGATCCAAGGCAAAGAGATGAAAACAAGAGATTATGTGCACTAGGGGATTGTTCTTTACCTCCTAAGCCCTTTTTGTCTCTAGTCCACCCTGTGTTCTTGCAACTATGCTTTCTACATAATTTGCATTTTTATCTTATTCACATTCCATCTTCTCATTTTACTGCAATGAACGTTTCCTCAGATGATGTGTTCCTTACAAGTCCCTCAGCTGGTGTATTCTATTGCTTCCCTTTTGCTAGATATCTGGGAAGTTATTCTTTTCTTTCTTCATTTCTTTTATTTTCCCGTTACTTTTAGGTGTTTTAGACGTGCACGTTCATTCCACTTCAAGAATCATGACCTCCTCAAGTCTAACAATACATATTTTACCTCCCGCTCTCAATTCCTGGCATTTACTCCCATAAATGAAATTGAGATCTTTTCACTAAGACTTATTTATTTATTTATTTTTTACCTGCAAGATCTCAGATTTTTCACTTTTGCTTCTCAATATAATCTTCATTGATTATGTCAGTCACTTCTCTTCATAGCACTACTGGAATAATTCACTCTTCAGAGTATATCTCTTACTTCAATCCTCTTCCAAGTTCCAGAGAGCACTTCCAGCTGCACACTATTTGTCTAAGTCTAGTAATCAATTGACCTTATGATAGAGAAAGTATTCTGAAGAGCCTATTTATATTAGTCTGTTCTCAATCTCCTGTAAACAAACTACCTATGACTGGGTAATTTATGAAGAAAAGAGGTTTAATTGACTCACAGTTCCCCAGGCTATACAGGAACCAGGGCTGGGAGGCCTCAGGAAACTTACAATCATGGCGGATGGTGAAGGTGAGGCATGCGTGTTTTACCATGGTGGAGCAGGAGACAGGAAACAAAGAAGGATGTGCTACACACTTCTAAACAACCTGATCTCCTGAGAACTCACTCACTATCGTAAAAGCAGCAAGGTGGAAATCTTGCCCCCCATGATCATCTCCTACCAGGTCCCTCCCCCAACGTTGGGAATTACAATTTAACATGAGATTTGGGTGCGAACACATAGCCAAATCATATCCCTAATCTAATAAAATAAGCAGTGATTTTCTAAACTGCCAGCAAAAGCAGAAATCAGAAAGACTGAAATCAAGACAGGGATTTGATGTAAGGGGGGTTTTCCATTGCTGAAGAAAACTGAGACCTCATTTCTACAGCTGCAAGAAACTGATCTGTCAACAATCTGAATGCGCTAAAAGGAGACTGTTTCCAGAGCTTCCAAGTACCTTAGTCCGGCCAACACATCCACTTCCACCTCATGATACCCATATCAGAGAATGCAGTCCGGTCCACATGGACTTCTGACCTATAGAACTGTGAGTTGATAAGTGGGTGTTGTTTTAAGCTGCTGAATTTATGGTAATTTTTTATCCAGCAACAGAAAACAAATATAATTCATTCAACACAACAATTCTATCTAAATTTTTTTCTAAATTCCAGAATGTGTTTTCCA
This sequence comes from Homo sapiens, assembly GCF_000001405.40. NCBI lineage: Eukaryota > Metazoa > Chordata > Mammalia > Primates > Hominidae > Homo > Homo sapiens. The sequence continues at coordinate 146,801,986 of NC_000007.14, read as the reverse complement.
TCATGTTTCTATAGATGTAAATAACACCACAGTCCTTCCAGCATGGTCACTGAGATTCATATCTGTCTTGCTCCACACATTCATTAAAATTAATAATTTTATTCTAGAACCATAGAATCTATGTCATCTGCATCTCACTTTCCACTCTATTCTCTTTACCATGAAGCATTTAAAATTCACCGTATCTGCTATTTGGTATAATAAAAGAGCTTTCTCACTTTTATTTGATCTGTACCACATTGACAATGGAAATCTCCTAACAACACACTTTAACCATGTCAGCCTCTTCTCTGGAAAAACAATTAAAAATAATAAAATGAGTGTCATGCCTCAGTTCTTTATTATGGCATTCACAAAGAACCCACCATATTTCTGGATCTAACCAACTTTTTAGTCAAATTAAAAAGCATATTTTTCCCTGAAAATTCTCTATATATTTCCACTTACGTACCTTTCTTGGAAATAGAAACTTTTTATGCCTGAATAAATCTTTCAACATGTGGAGAAAGTTTAATAATTCCATGGAACATATATTACTTAATTTGTACCTTCATTGGTAATATGAAATTCAATAAATGTTTGGTCAATGATATGGTTTGGATGTGTGACCCCTGCAAATCTCATCTGGAAATGTGGCCACAAATGTTGGAGATGGTCTCAGACGTCTAGTGAGAGATGTTTGGATCATGGGGGTGGATCCCTCATGAATGGCTTGGTGCTGTCCTCTTGGTACTGAGTGAGTTCTCACTCTATTAGTTCATGTCAGAGCTAGTTGTTTAAAAGAGCCTGAAACTTCCTCCTTTTTCCTGCTCCTTCTGTCATCATGTGATGTACCTGCACCCCTTCATCCTCCATGAAGGGTAAAGACTTCCTAAGGCTCCACCAGAAGCTGAGAAGATGCTGGTGCCATGCTTGTATAGATAAATCTCTTTTCTTTATAAATTACCCAGCCTCAGGTATTTCTTTATAACAATGCAAAACAGACCAATACACTTAACCAGCAAATCAATTCAGACTCTCCTTATTCTTCCTAAAGAGAGGAGTTTCCTTCAATGCATCTGTAGGGTACTTTATACTTTTCCCACATTGCATGTGGGAAAAAATTCTCTACTCCTGACACCTTCTTTGCTCACTGTAAGAATCAGAGCAGGGTGTTTTACTCTTCTCTGTATTCCTCAGTAAATCCTATGGGAGATTATATCTAGTATAATTCGTTTCATGTTTTTGAAATAATTGAATATAGTTAAGCAATTTAAACTCTATGTGAGAATTCTCCTTACATTTACAACTGATATTCCAGGTACTGTTCACCCCTGTCAACTAAATAAGGCCCCATAAGTTCTTATTTGTGGCGCTCAAGGAATCCTCTTCTAGTTAATGTCTCTGTGCCTGAGGACACCTTGGTGGCCAGGGAGCAGCTTTGAACAACCTGCATATTTTGGGGAATTTCAGAAGTTCATTTTCTCAGCTTCCCTTGCAGCTAGAGTAGAGGTATTTGACTTAAATGCCCAACAGAAAGAAAAACACAAGACTTTGGTTCTAGAGAGATAAAGCAATTTCTGTGCCAAACTGATTTTCTGACAAGGCTAGGGTCAGAGCCAGCTGGTCTTCCCAGGCCACCCCGGGCAGCTTGGCACGCAGTGCCAGAATCATCAGGCATCTACAGCAGTGGGTATAGCAGTGCTGGCTTCACTGAGGAGCTCTGGGGAGATGTAGGTGTTGTTCTTGGTGGTGGCATTTCAAATCTGATTGTAGCTGTCTAGAAACTTCAGTAAAAAAGTCCCTTTAATAAATCTCTTTCTGTTTGAATAGCTAGTGTTGCTGCTATCATTCACAACTAGAATCCTGAGTGATCAGTACCTAAGCATGGAAAAATATAGTTATTACAAAAGAATATATCATATTAGTTACTAATAATTCCAAATGCATTCCCTACTATTCAGAATTAGAACTGAGTCCATATTCATAATTGTAGTATGTTACTATGTTATTATATATTTTCATATTTTCATACTTTTTTTATTTAACAGATTTTGTTGAGTCCCATAACCAATCTTTCATAGCAATTATGATGTACCAGGAATTTTACTAAATTTTATACACTATTAAACTCCTTCGATCTTGAAAATGTCTCTGTGAGATAGGTGCAATTATCAAAGTGATCCCCATTTTAAAAGTGAAGAGATAGAGGTCCAGAAATGTAGGTAATTTGCACAAAAATCACACAATGAGTTAGCAGCAGAGAAAGGTTCAGACTTAGGTATTAGGCTAAAATCTCACTCTTAACCACTATGGTAATTTTGTGTGGAGGAGTCAGCTGCATTTAGTCATACGCTTGCAGAGTAATAAAGTATAGCTACAGTATTTTCACTCATTGTCTTTTGATATGCTTGAAAATGACCAATCTTAGCGCTACTCAAGCTCTTTGGAAAATTTCTTACTTTAATGTGCATGTAAGTCATATATAAAACAAAACAATAATTCAGAAGATACTAAACTCGAATGTGCATAAAGAAACTGCAGATGAAAATTATCTTTCAACCAACCAACATTTATTAGACACATATTCTATGCTGGACATGATGTTAGATGCTGTGTATACAAATAAAAATGGGATACAATAATGTCTTTAAGGAGACGTCACCTAGGGAATGACATCAACAGGTAAGCAATCAAGAATCTTTCAGTATGAAATGGGTTACCATAGATTTTATGGTAATACTATGGAAACTCATTTTTAGTCAAGGGAAGGTCCCCAGATTCTACAGACTTCATTTTCTATTTCACTTAAAAAAGAAAAAAGAAAGCAACTCAAAGAAATTGATCTAAAACAAATACTTAATTTCATACAAGGAGAGGTAAGTTCTAATAAATAGCAAATACAGTCTGGACACAATGTTTATCACATTTCCAATACATCAATTCAAGTGATGTGGTTGTGGTTCATATGAACCTCAAAAATAATGCATCAAAATGAAAGGATTAGTTTGTATGAAAGAGGATATTTATCTATAGTCTCTACCACCTGAAATACAATTTAGCTCACATAATGTACTCAAAAATATTTTTTTTGCAGCTGTACAAATATGAGAAAATGGCTAGAACAGGTTGGAGGCTTTCTAGGACTCTTAGCTGGGTATGAAAATGTGGGTAATTATAATTTGCTTTTTGCTAGAATCTCCATGAGGATAATGACCATTTAATTTGTTCATGACTACAGAATGCACCAAAAAAAATCTGCCCATAAAATGTAAATAAAACTTATTGTATTAGTTACATTGTCAGTTGTTAACCAGAAATATTTCATGTCATAATTGCATTTGATAGAAGTGCTAAATTATGGGCCAGGCACAGTGGCTCATGCCTGGAATCACAACATTTTGGAGGCTGAGGGAGGAGGATTGCTTGAGCCCAGGAGTTCAAAACCATTCTGGGCAACATGGCAAAACCCCATCTCTACTAAAAGTACCAAAAAATATAGCTAGGTACTGATGGTGCACACCTGTAATCCCAGCTACCCAGGAGGCTGAGGCATGAGGATTGTTTGAGCCAAGAAGGCAGAGGCTATAGTGAGCCAAGATCACACCACTGCACTCCAGCTTGGGCAACAGAGCCAGACCCTGTGTCAAAAATAAAGAAAACATGCTAAATTATGTCAGATTGTGTCTGTTTGAGACACTGCCACAAAAAAAGTCTTTTTTTTTTTTTGGAGACAGGGTCTGGCTCTATCACCTAGGCTGGAATGCAGTGGCACGATCACCACTCACTGCAGCCTCTGCCTCCCCATCCCCGGCTCAAGTGATCCTTGTGCCTCTGCCTCCTGAGTAACTGGGACCGCAGGCGTGTGCTAGGATACCTGGCTAACTTTTGTATTTTTAGAGAGACAGTTTTTGCCATGTTGTCCCAGCTGGTCTCAAACTCCTAGGCTCAAGTGATCCTCCCACCTCAGCCTCCCAAAGTGCTGGGATTACAGCTGTAAGCCACCACACTCGGCCAAAAATATCAACTTAATTGTCATATGAATAGCTTCTGTGTGGCAAAAATGGTTAAGACAATAGAAATAAAAGATTTAAGGTTGTGATAATTCATGTAACAAATGTATACATAGTTACACCTGAAATATTTTTGAACAACTTTGTATCTCTATCTTGTCAACAGTGACAGAGAAAGAGATGATAAATGGTAATGAACAAACAAATACATTTTGAATGCTGCAGCTGCCAGGACGTATCTTAGTGAGAACTAAACCTTCCTTTTTGTAAATCAGTGAGATTTTGGTGGTAGCTTGTTCTGCAGCATAATTTAGCATCTTTCTATCTCTGAAGTCAGTCAGTTATGGAGTATAGTTAATTCTACAGAAATATCTGTTTAATCTGCTTTCTTTTTCTTCTACCCTGCTTTACTTAAATCCATCAACATTTTTCACTTGAAACAGCTATTAGTGGTCTTTTGCTAACAACTTTGTCCTAATTCAGTTCATCCTCCACAAGGCATACTTGGTTATTAGTGAAATAGTCTGTATGCTATTTCCATGTTTAAAATCTCCTAAGAATTACAGATAGCTCTAAGACAAAATGCAAATTTATCAGACAGCCCCACATGATATCAAGGTGTCTCCTGCCACCTCCCATACAATCTTCTCCATCACTTTCCCTTGAACACCTTTTCCCTTGTTATTTTGTAATTCAATGCTTTGCACACATGCCAATTTGTCTGTTCAGAGTGCTTTTCCATCCTGTGTCCCTCAGTAGTCCCAACAGAAAACTAATAAGATTTTTCTTACAGGTGCAACTGGCCCACCCTTTTTCAGTGCAATCAAAATCATGTATAATTAAAAAGAATTTTTTTTTCTAGATGGAGTCTCGCTCTGTTGCCCAGGCTGGAGTGCAGTAGCGCGATCTTGGCTCACTGCAAGCTCCACCTCCCGGGTTCACACCATTCTCCTGCCTCAGCCACCAGAGTAGCTGGGACTACAGGCGCCCGCCACCATGCCTGGCTAAGTTTTTGTATTTTTAGTAGAGACAGGGTTTCACGGTCTTAGACAGAATGGTCTCGATCTCCTGACCTCGTGATCTGCCTGCCTCAGCTTCCCAAAGTGCTGAGATTACAGGTGTGAGCCACCGCGCCCGGCCAAGAATGTTTTCTTAATGAGTGCTTCACTTGCCTCTGAGCTCTGCTTGAAATGCATTACATGTATTAACTTATGTAATCCCCACAAAGTGAATAAGGTAGTCAGCATTATTACCTCCATGGTATAGATAAGGAAGTTGATTTTCAGTGAAATCAATGAGGTTCTACTGAGGTTATTCAGTTTTTAAGTGGCCAAGCTATGTTTCTAACCTAGGAAGTCATAGTCGGCCCTCTAAGTCCCTATACCGTTATATCACTTCTTTAATTATAGAACTGCGTTTCAGAAGCTAGATCTTCTTTATCTTCATATCTTGATCTACAATAGCTCCTACATATGGGTGGAATTACTGACACCAGCTGGTCCAAAGTACCCCAGGAGAAGCTGACAAAAAATTCAGTTTCCGCATCAAGATGATTTCATCACTCTTACCCTAACCAATCAAAACCCCAATTTTACAGCCGCTCACCCTCCACAATCCCCTTAAAAACTCCAGCCCAGAACTCCTCAGGGAGATGGATGTGACGGTCGTTCTCATGTCCTTGCTTAGCTGCCCTATAATCATTAAAGTCTTTCTCTGTTGCAAACCCTGCTGTCTCAGTGTGTTTGTCTGTTACTGCACAGCAAGCATACAAATCTGGTGGTCCTGTGACACCATCTCCCTCCCTGCAACTTAGAAGTAACCGATAGCCTTCACTTTCAATAAAGCATGCCTTTCTGTTTCTTTCTGGTTTTATCATATATGCATATATTCCTAAAGTATATACTGTTAACCTGTTTTTGGATTTTATGTAAGTGAAATGACATTGTATGTATTCTTCTATGACTTATTTTAATCAACATTATGATTTTTCTTTCATGTGTATTTACTTGAAGTGTATTCCCTTTGAATTTCAAATTGTATTTCTTTATATAAAATGTAGCATATGCTTTGAACAGTGATGATGTTTATGGACATTTAAGTTGTTTTCATTTTCGGGTTATTATACAATACACACTGCTTCTCTGCATATTTTTAATACACATCTTCCCATAAACATGAGCAGGCATTTTTCTGGGATGTCTTCCTATCATTGAAATTGCTGGGGCATAAGGTGTGAACATGTCAATTTTATCAAATAATAGCTAGAATCCATAAGATTTTGTCTGCGGACAACCCTCAGGCTGCCAGAACCCATCTTGCCTGAACATAAGGGTAGTTGGGAAATTGGGAAAAGTAACCAACGTCTGATAGATGTAGGCATATAAAGTCTCCAGCTTCTAGCCCCTGCTTCAGACAGCTGTGACATGTGACTTATCTCAAGAGCTTCCCTGTGGGATCTGAGCCAAGGTTACATTCCATGACATTTGGCACACTGACTTTACTTCTCCATCCCACTTTCCACTCCCTTGCTAGTTTTCCCCAGGAACACTTTCATTGTCATCTTTACATGTGAATCCTCTTCTTAACAATAATATATTCTGTACTTTTAATGTTTTGTACCATGAATGTTGATTTGCGAGGTCAGAGTATACTGTGGAGAATACTAAGTAAACTCAGGGCCAAAAAGAGAGCCATAGAATTAGCATAGTGTTGGCAAAATGTCGATATACAGAACTGAATGGTTTAAAATACCATCAACATAGTTGATCTTTATTTTCAACATTTACTAATTATATTCTAATTCTCCACTAAGCTATATAAGGTAGAGATTGCTCTTTATCATGAGATTTATGTTGCATTATCTATGTTCAGATTTAGGGGAAAATAGTTATATTCATATACTTACATTATGTCTGTGATTAGCGTTTTTTCTTTAAATTTTTCACTGAAAACTCTTCAAAGGCAATGGGTGCCCCTGCTTTCTACTTTCTCTGACTACTCTGTCTATAGCATATGAAGCTGCAGGTCATATTCAGAGATGCTGCATTTTAGAGCAGAACTTGATGAATGTTTAAGGCAGTACATAATTGATATAAAAGCACAATATACTAAATTCTTTAAAATAGATATTTTCAAAGATCAAATCCTATTTTTGCTTTATACCTGTGAAAATGGTGTTTAGAGTAGATTCTTGCTACTTTGAAGTACTTGTATTGTTTTTCTGAATGAATAATCGGTATAATACATTATTCCTCTCGTGGTTTGACAGCTTTGGAGCATTCGTATCATAGTTAGTACCTCATTATGAAAAAACACAGTTAGATAGGCCTTAGTTTTTTAATCCTGGCTTCACTACATACAACAGACACCATGGGAAAGTTATTTATCTGTATTTCAGTTTCTACCTCTGCAAAATCATACCTACCCCCATGACTATTAATACTTTAATCCCCACTTTGGGGCTTTTATTCACAACTGATATCCTTTAGGGTCATGTTATTTCTGACACTGATATGTTTCAGTAGAGAAATAATTCAATGATTTTTATTTTTAATGAGGTATATTATCCTTGTTAAAGAATGCATTCTCTTGTAATTATTAAATAATGTCTTCCTATCAACTTCTAATCATCAATCCCTCTAAACATAATAGAAATTATGCATATACAATGATTTGGACAGACTTTTTTACTGTGATAATAAACAGAAGGTTGCATATAATGTTCAGACATAGAGATATGATAGGAGATAATACTATTTCTACATAGTTACAGAGTTTACACAATGCCAGAGTAATTAATCCAGGTCCATATTGCTAAGGCTAAGCCCATGAAACAGACTATCCAAGGGCATTTAGCCTAGTCTGCACAGAGAGAAAATGTCTAATGCTTTGAGTCAATCTGATTGCATCAAAAGGGATTTGCTTTCAGCTGTTCAGATCAATGAATACTAGATTTTTACCCTCAAAATCAGCAGCAGCTGTCTCTAGAACCCGGTGAGAGAGACTGGCTGAGCATACCCCAACATAATCTCAAGAAACATCAGTTTGTAACATGTTCTGGAAAAGTAAGACACATCCTAGAGTCCTGTCTTCTTTAACAGTAAACAAAATGCCTTAACTGAAAGAAGTTTTATTTGATGGTCCCTAGAGTTGTGATCCACATACTGCCTACTCTTCATTAACTCTAACATATACTTCTTGACACCACTTATGCTGTCTAATCCCACCCTGGGCCAGGGACCACACTTGGTCTCTGGCCCCCACAGCTGCCCAAAGGCTGGAGCTAGTGCTGAATGCTACATTTCAGACACCCAGGGGGAACCCCCAAACCCTGGGTTTTGCTGAAGGTTTTCCAATGTCAAGGAACAGCTATCGCATTCTTGCCTCTGCCATTCTTGCTTTTCCTGATAAAATGAGACTGCCCTGCAAATTGATGTTAAGTACTTAGCCTCCTCAGTTATTATAATTCTGCCATCTCTTAGCCACCACCAGGCTATAAATGAATTCTGACTCTCCCCAAAGATTAATGCCACTGCATATGATTACACCCTGCACATCCCCAGGGTCACCATTCCCACAGGTGCAGGTGTCAATACCTGTGGCTACTCAGACTTGGCATGTTGCTAGAAGGACTAACACATGCCTGAGAGACTGCAGATCTAAATTTGCTATTTTATTTTAAATAATTTAAATGTATATTTTAAAACTGATAATTCATTTATAGGAGAACATTTTAGATATTTTGGGAGCAATTTGGCTATGTGAGTCCAGTGTTTAAACCATAAATGTTGTGAAATTTAAATATAGATGAAGTATTTCTGATGGAAATTTAGTTTCTGAATCAAGATAAGTGTAACATACACACCAGATTTTAAAAATTTAGTATGAAAAATGTAAAGTAGCAAATTGATAATTTTTATATTGATTACATAACAAAATGACAATATTTCAATATTTTAGTTTAACTAAAACATATAAAATGTATTTCACCTGTTTCTTTTTAGTTTTTTTCCATGCAGGTATTAGATAATTGAAAATTACATATATGGCTCACCATGTATTTTACCAGACAGTGCTGACATAGACTACAACATGTTCTGAACACAAAGTAAACCACAAATATTTGTTAAATTATTGATGCCCCTTCAAAAAAAATAATTATTATTTTCATCGAGTAAGACAAGTATCTATTTTCTTTTGATTAATACTCAGATGCCACCTGAACTATCTCCAAATTTATGGTTGGGGACACTCACCAGTGTGCTTCAGACCAACAGTGCCTTGTGTCATAATGATGTCACCATCTCAGAGTCTCTAAAACGTTCCCTTGTCAACTTTTCAGATGTTTTAATCCCACATGCAAATGAATCTTTAGTGGTGGTATGTGCTTAGCTCAATGCATGCTTATTAAATGCCTGGATACCTCATTTTCTGTAGTTTGAGCAGCCTTTCAACACTGATTTTGACACTTAGTCTTATCATTTAGGCCTTTCCAGGTCCTGACCTGTATTATTGTACATTGGAACTATATGCAAGGGCCATGGCTGAAGGGATCAATGTTGGTATCTTGGTCCGTATTTCACCTCTAATAGAATTGATCTTAGCCTATTTGTTCAGATTGCTTCTTTGACAAGACAAAGCCAAATGTAGATCAGCTTTGTTTTATTCATGCCATTTTGCCTAAAATAAATAGTTCAGATTTACATGTAGCAGAGTGTTTTTTTTTTAGCTTTTTCTTTTTTTTTGATATAAGATGTCATATAATAAAGAAAAGGAAAAAGAAAGATTGCAATGTTCTCTCCCAGCCTGAATAACTCAGAGTTACATAAGTGTTTATGAATAATGAATGTCTAATTGAGGTGCCTGAAATATGAATCACTGTACCATTCCAAACGGCAGTGAGATGTAGAATTCTCATTCGGCAACAGGATTTTTATTTCCCGATTTCTGCCTTTCTGTTATTCCCGCAGTTGAGTATGAGGTCACACAGATAACACTTCTGAAGAAATCAACCACACTTTTTTCTATTCCAACTAAGCCATCCAAACAAAGAAAAAAATAGTAGGGGGGATTCCCAAGAGTTGAGGACAAAGGAACCTAAAATCTACATTAATCCAATAAACAGAAACAGCATCACAGGGTTTTAGATCTCAGGCTCAGTGAGAAATCTATTTGAATTTAAATTGTTGGCATTCCAGAAGCTGATTAACGTATTTCAGGCTGTTGACAAAACATCCTGCCTGTTTATCACTCCTTAGTGAATCCTTGCCATTTCATTGATAAATTGCTGAGGAGAACTGATAATTTCCAAATGTATGTCATATCAGTGGAAGGAAAAGTTAGAAAGAGCTCACAAATACATGAAAGTGAAGCTGTAACAAAGCATCAGCATTCTTTATCTCTGTCATAACCACTGACTGTGTGCTTCCTCCACCCTGCGTTTTCTTTCCCAGTGCTGCAAGGAGCATGTTGAGTTCTGATTGGCATCTCTGGGTCTGTCTACCTAAACTTCTCACTTGGAACCACAAGATGCTAAATTAAGACTGATACCCAAAGGATTATAAATCATTCTACTATAAAGACACATGCACATGTATGTTTATTGCGGCACTGTTCACAATAGCAAGGACTTGGAATCAACCCAAATGCCCATCACTGATAGACTGGATAAAGAAAATGTGGCACATATACACCATGCAATACTATGTAGCCATAAAAAAAGATGAATTCATGTCCTTTGCAGGGACATGGATGAAGCTGGAAACCGCCATTCTCAGCAAACTAAGGCAGGAACAGAAAACCAAACACCACGTGTTGTCACCCATAAGTGGGAGTTGAACAATGAGAACACATGGACACAGGGAGGGGAACATCGGACACAGGGAGGGGGACATCACACACTGGGGCCTGTCAGGGGGTAGGGGCTGGGGGATGGATAGCATTAGGAGAAACATCTATTGTAGATAACGGGTTGATGGGTGCAGCAAACCACCGTGGCACATGTATACCTGTGTAACAAACCTGCACATTCCACACGTGTACCCCAGAACTTAAAGTTAAAAAAAAAAAAGACTGAGGTACTCAAAGCCTGTCTCCAGGCCCCTGCATAGAAATCACTGACCAAATCGGCCAGGCGTGGTGGCTCACGCCTGTAATCCCAGCACTTTGGGAGGCCGAGGTGGGCGGATCACAAGGTCAGGAGATTGAGACCATCCTGGCTAACACGGTGAAACCCTGCCTCTACTAAAAATACAAAAAATTAGCCAGGCGTGGTGGCGGGAGCCTGTAGTCCCAGCTACTCCGGAGGCTGAGGCAGGAGAATGGCGTGAACCCGGGAGGCGGAGCTTGCAGTGAGCTGAGATCGCGCCACTGCACTCCAGCCTGGGCGACAGAGCGAGACTCCGTCTTACAAAAAAAAAAAAAAAAATCACTGACCAAATCACGAAGATAAGATAGTTTTGCTGAAGTTGCATCATTTGGACGTATCCAATAAACATCCCTAAAACTGGGGCACCTGCATATTTCCTCTCAAGTCCTGATGGCCACGATTTGAAAGCCTAAAACTCATACTTCTCTTCCTAGTTAGTGCTATTTCTTTGGGAATGAAACCAACAAACACAGTTTGGTGTACAAAATACCAATATTTGGTTTCCAATTTCTTGTTTGAATTGTTGAAATTCAAATACAGGATTTTGAATTAAAAACCAAAAGTATTTTGTGCTTCTTGGAAACAGTCTTTAGAAAATTATTTTCCATCATCAATGATTGTCTTAAATAATCTATAGAGAAGGTAGATAATGGTAACTTTGAAAGATTTGGTCAAATGAGTCTTTGCTTTACTTTATTTAATACTTGATAGAAAGAAGTTTGGGAGAAAAGAATGAATCAATTCCCTTGGGAGTTTCTAGTTTTCCAGGAAGTATGGTCATTCTACTAAACAACAACAAAATGAAAGGCAAAATGTCACAATGCTGAATCCTTTATTTGAAAGGGAAGAAAGCATTTAGTGATTGATAATGATCATACAATGGGATATTGTTATTATTGATGCCAGATTGTTCTCATCTCACACTAAATGTAGATCCACTTACGGCATATCTAGTAGGCCTCACATACTTTATATTTTGTGGTTGAGGTTTACTCCTGTTATTCATTTTCTTTCACTTTGTACTGACTTACTGCTTTTTCCCAGGTGTGTTTTGAATATTAAGAGTGTTAGTGACTTTAAAAATACAGCTTCTGTCAGATTCTAGCGTATTGGTGCTGCATATCAGTAGTTTTTTCTTATTTAAATTCTTTTCTGGTAGAGAGAATGTTGGTCTCATTGTTCTGTTCAAATCTTTACTGGTTCCCACATATATAATATTTAGAGTACAGGTTTGTCTTTTTTTTTTTTGCCTGCCACCCCACATAATACAAGTTCAAAAATTAGACTAAATTGATTTCAATTTTGGCTAGGCTTTTAGTATAGTGAAAAAAAGATATGCTTTTAACAAATACATCATTATATGCAAATATTTAAAATAACTTCTTTTACTTTCAGATTATTTAAAACAGATTAAAAAACATGCAAAGAAATCACAAAGGCATTCTGAATGAAAATCTACTCAATATACGCTTCTCAGAAATGAAAGAGAAATGTCTCTTTTTGTGTTCTAAAACACCAGTGGGAAAACTTTAGTTATGCTTTATAACCAACTCAAATATTATTCAAATTTTTCCAAAAGAAAAGTTCTCACAAAGTCAGGGAAGACAAGTGGAGGACAGAATAGTGAATTATTTTGAAGTCAGAAGACTTAATTTCAAATACTCAGATCCAGTTTCTGTTAGCTGTGACCTTAGGCAAGAATCTAAACTTGGTGAATCTCAGTTTTCTTATTCATCAAACTGAGTTTTGTAACTTCTGAATTTCTTCCTAGGGTTTTGTAAGGATCAGATAAAATAATATGTACATACAAGCATTTATTTCTACATTTGTGAATATCAGCTCTGTTCTTGGCATCATCCTGTATGTCAAGTATTCATGGATACTTGATACACAGGACATGTCTTCAGGTGACACCCACCCAGTCTCTTGGGGTCAGAAAAATAAGTCTACAATACAATACTTCATTATAAGTTCTGAGATAGAGATAGACGAAAAAACAAAACAAAACAAAACAAAACAAAAAAACACGTGGATGTCTTGAAATGACCAAAAAGAAATACTTTGCCGTCAGTAATGACTTTTAAGGAAGTTGACAACTTAAGTCACTACCAAAGGACAGGAAGCTTAAACATGTTAATGCTGTTTAAGAAGACTGATCTATCTAATTAAAAAAAAACCTGAAGACCAATGAGAAGTGCTTATACTTTAATACTATTTGAATGTGAATGTAGGTGTGTGGAAGGTTTGGGAATATAAATGTGGTGGGGGCAGTGGTAACATCCTTTGCTATTTTGGCCTTCTTGGCACTTGTTTTTGTGGACTGCCAGCCCTTCAACAGTAAAGAAGTCATCATTTCTGCTTTATTAGCCTCTTGTTGGAATAAATTTAATCATCCTCCTCTGGGAATTCTATATGATCCTATGAGAACATATGACCTTACCATAATACGAGAAGAGTCTCTAGCAATCCCTATGACTCTAGTACTGAGAAATGACAATGTGCTAGCAGCCCTTCCTGGCTCTTGGTGCCTCCTCGGCCTCGGCGTCCACTCTGGCCGCACTCCAGGAGCCCTTCAGCCCGCTGCTGTGCTGTGGGGGTCCCCCTCTGGGGCTGGCAGAGGCAAGAGTCCGCTCCCTCTGCTCTCAGGCCACACGGGTTCCAGGTGGGCGCCGGCTTGGTGGCCAGCCCGCGCCTGCTGGGCTTGTTTGGGGGACAAGCTCCCTCTGGGCTGCTGGAGTGCCTGGGCTAGGTGCCACAAAGTCCCGTGGCCAGTGCCATTGAGAGGTGAAGCCAGCTGGGCTTCTCGGTAGGGTGGGGACCTGGAGAACTTTTCCGTCTAGTTAAAGGTTTGTAAAAGCACCAATCAGCCCTCTGTGTCTAGCTAATCTGGTGGGGACTTGGAGAACTTTTGTGTCTAGCTAAAGGACTGTGAACGCACCAATCAGCACTCTGTGTCTAGCTAAAGGTTTGTAAATGCACCAATCAGTGCTCTATGTCTAGCTAATCTGGTGGGGACTTGGAGAACTTTTGTTTCTAGCTAAAGGACTGTAAATGCACCAATCAGCACTCTGTCAAAACGGACCAATCGGCTCTCTGTAAAATGGACCAATCAGCAGGATGTGGGTGGGGCCAGATAAGGGAAGAAAAGCAGGCCACCCCAGCCAGCAGTGACAACCTGCTCGGGTACCCTCATGCGCGGGGGAAGGTTTGTTCTTTCGCTTTTCACAATAAATCTTGCTGCTGCTCACTCTTTGTGTCCGTGCGGCATTTATGAGCTGTAACACTCACCGTGAAGGTCTGCACCTTCACTCCTGAGGCCAGGGAGACCACGAACCCACCAGAAGGAAGGAACAACTCCAGACGTGCAGCCTTTAAGAGCTGTAACACCGCAAAGGTCTGCAGCTTCATTCCTGAAGTCAGCGAGACCACGAACCCGCCAGAAGGAAGAAACTCCAGACACATCTGGACGTCTGAAGGAACAAACTCCGGATATACCCTCTTTAAGAACTGTAACCCTCACCGCAAGGGTCCGTAGCTTCATTCTTGAAGTCAGCGAGACCAAAAACCCACCAATTCCGCACACAGTACCATAGAAGCCTGTACACCTCAGAAGCACGTGATTTTAACTTCCACCCTCTAGAACACTCAGGGAGGAAGAGTAAGGAAGTCAACAATACTTTTCATCATCTTAAGAGTAGATCCTTATAAGACTTATTTGGTGGTCTAAGCAGAGGGTTGAAAACAAAACAAAACCCAATTCGTTATCCATCCAAATATGTATGTGCCAGACACTGGCTAGAGAAAATTATAGAACACGCTTAATTATGCATTATTCATACATATGCTCAGGCACAAACCTTGTAATGCAAAATAATTCATCCTGGAGGCAGAAGAGTCTTTCCGGTTGTGGATGTCTGGTGAGGTGGTGGTTACAGACATATTGCAGACAAGGACCCGCAGTTCAAACAGATACCATTGTCTATCAATTTTAAAGCAGAAGACAGATGCAAAGGAAATACATTGCAAAAGTTGCTGAGAATGAAAACCAAGCAAAATAAAAGCAACATGAATTCCTTACCTTGCTAAGAAAATCATAATAGCTAAGGGAAATAAAATAAAATGACCTTTGGGTGAAAACCTGGGGAAGAAATCTTTCTACATTTTGTGTTTACATTTTGATGTTAAAGAGGCAAGAACAATAAAAATAGACTGTCTTAAATGTCATGTTTTATTGTCAGCAATATTCGCGTCAAGCATATATCTGAGTTTTAAAGCAAGAGGATGAGTAAACAATGTTGATTGCTCATTCTTGGTGTATAGAAAAGGCAGCTAACAAAGGCTACACTGCTTTGAATTCTTATTAGTGACAATTTTTTTAGAATTACTTTTGCAAGGCATGCATATAAAAGAACAATTCTATATTTCTTAATTCTGAAAGAAAAAAATGTGAAAAAGTCACTAATTTGCTAAGGGTATTAAGAGAAGGGTCTGTTCATTTTAATAAGTATGACCTGAGCCGGTTGCTAACAGAGTCATTATTAGATTAAGTCCTCCCAATTGTCTTGGAAATAATTTGGTCTGCCTCTTAATAAGTAAAATAAAGAAAAAGGGATAAATAGTCACAAAAGCATGGAATTTAATCACAGGAGAGTAGATATTGAAAAATACAGTCACTCATTTGGTATAGAGGAATTGTAATTTTCAGGTTTGAACTATAGTTTTTACAGGTGCAGTTTTTTTATGGCCTAAACTTGTCTATTGAATGAACTCTGTTCAATGCCACTCACCAACCAGCTGATGTGAGCTTCCCAAACGGCTACTTGTGGACTTGCCCTATTCTTTCCTGGCCTTCATTTCTTCTTGTAGGCTACACTGCTTCTACTGGGTTACAGAATGTATTTCTTATGAGCCAGATACAGTGTTAAGGACCGATACAATGTATTCTGTTACCCAAAAGCCAGCACAAGTCGAAAGCCATGTATGTGAAATAATATCTTGAGATAAGAAAGGCATGCTTTATCAGCTCAACATTATCCTCATGGTCTCTGTTCTACAATATTGGAAGTGTTGAAAGAATGTTGATATGAGAGGGCCATTCTCTAATGACTCTGAATATTCATTTTTAAAAATGAGATTTAAATTTCTAGTTTATTTATGATGATAATTGCGTTGGTTGTTGTTACTCATCTGCTATTATAGTCTAGATTCCAATTGGCTACGACAGTGACCAAACAATTTGTGAGATAGTTTTTTGGAACAAGAAAAGTACCAGCAAATATTAACTCTTGATTTAACAAATGATTCCTACATATAAGCAATGAGTATTTGAAATTTACAATTAGTAGAATAATATATGCAGTAAATAATATTTTATGTACTTGTTCACACATTTAGAAAATATTCTCTGAGAGTCAAACCTGCATAAGTACAGCATGAAAGTGCTTTCAGGCTGTGAAGAATTTTATTTTTAAAATGAATATTTCTGATGGTAGAAATCATTCACAAAAATTCTCCACCTCCTTATTTGAGATGTGAAAAATACTAAAGACTCTCTATGAATAAAGTTAGCATATAGGCTGCGCTCTGTGGCTCATGCCTGTAATCCTAGCACTTTGGGAGGCCAAGGTGGGTAGATCACTTGAGTGCAGGAGTTCGAGACCAGCCTGACACACATGGCAAAACCCTGTCTGTACAAACATTAAAAAAAAAATTAGCAGGGCATGGTGGTGCGAGTCTATAGTCTTAGCTACTCAGGAGGCTGAGATGGGAGGATCACCTGAGCACAAGGATGTGGAGGCTGTAGCGAGCCCTGATCATGCCACTGCACTCTAGCCTGGGTGACAAACCTTGTCTTAAAAGAAAAAAAAAAAAAAAGCAAAGGGATAAAGGAATATTAAATGATTATTCTCGTAAACACATTTTGCCTATATTCTTGAATGGTTTAGAAAGAAAAATTCAGTGTGTAAATATTTGATAAAGCTTTTTGCCTAGATATCCTGACCATTCTCCAGAAATTTCATAGAAACGATATCTACGCACAGAGGGAGGTGTGGTCCAGACCACTAAGAATCTGTAAGAGCCCAGTAAGATCAAGACCAAGGAATTATGATCTTTCTTGGCTACACAACGGGCGTTCAGTGACGACAGGGTCCTAGAGAGTGTCCACTCAAAATTTCTCATTATAGAAGTGAGTGAGGAATTTTGGCAATTGAACACAAGTAGGAAGTGGCCCAAGATGTCTCCTATGGGTAACGAAAAATCTAGATCCATATCAACAATCTTACAAAGGTATATGTATTCTTCACATCTTCTTAAATTTTTGTTTGTTTGTTTAAATACATTGATTTGCTAATTCAGATGTGGTTATCCCATCCCATATGTCCTAAACTTTATAGGGCCAGTACCAAATAGGATAGTTTTCAGTATTGTGTTTAAACTAAAATTACCAAACATATTATAATAATGAATTATTCGCAAACTTCCCCCTCTTTTAGACAGTCAGCTATTAATGTTGTGATCTAAAGAGAGTGTTAGAAAATTAATATTCCAGAGCCATTTCAAAGGCGGCAGCAGGGATCAATGTGATAGCATTGATGTTAAGCCAGTACATGATTTTCTCAATAGCAAATATTAAGATATATAGAATTTGGTACACAAAGGGGAAAATAGTAACTTCCTAAAAATAATTAACTAAAAAATTCTTCATCTCAAAAGTCCAAAATTGAAAAACTCTTTTATCTTTATTCCCCTTTCTCTAATTAAGTCTAGTTCATTCTGTTAAACTAAAAATCACTAGACTTATTATCAAAGAACTTTTATAATCAGTATTTTCAGAAACACAGTAGTGAAACCATGGGAGATACGACTATATTTCTAAGTACATTAAAGAAACCCCATTGAAAGCCCGTGATCCGCACAATGTTTAGCTAAATTTTATAAAAGCAAATCCCAAAGTGGAAATGTATTCTGCTGGCCTTAAAGATGTTCTGTGATAAAGACGATCTGTGATTCTCCAAAAGAAGATCCCAGAGCACAAGATCTGTCCAGTCTGATTTGATTATGGAAACTTGTATGTATATACGTGTGTTCACCACACATATTAACATCATGCACTTTGGGACGCATTGCTCTATGGAAATTGCAACAAAACCTAGCACAGATTTCTATGAAGAAAACAAAAACAAGGTGTTGAAATACCAACATTTTAAAATTGAGTGTAATGGTTGAAAAATAACAATACTATTTTAAAATTTAAAAAGGTATGCCCAAACAAAATGTATGAGTCATTGCCTGGTGAGTTTGCTTTCAACATTCTATCATTTATAACAAGTGTCAATGATACACATATTCCTGTATTACACATTTAATTTTATAAAACTCCCAGTCAAGCCAAAATTTTGGTTTATCTTTGAGAATTAAGTAAAAAAGAATACATTAAAATTCACAATACCAGTTAGATGGAAACTCTCATTCATTTGGGGAGGTGGATATGAAATCTGTGAGGTCTTCAGAAGAAATCTTTGAAAAGTTGTATTTAAAAGATAGAATATATTGGGCTAAGGAAAACAAAGGTGATACTTTTTATTCGCCCTAATGTCCAGAACAATTTTTTATATGAGGCTTATAACTACATGTTAGTTTCTATAAGATATATAGATTCTAAGAGATCAAATTCAAACAACATTAAGATAATAAGAACAAAACAACACTTAAAAATCACTGGCATAATCTCTTTCACTTAAATTGAAAGGAGTTTGAGGTGAAAAGTCCTGCAGAATATTTAAGTCACTGTAAGTCTTAACACCCCAAAAATACTGAAAGTTTTAAAAATGTTATTTTACTAATTTTTAAATTATTATGATAATATTTTGTCTTAGATGATAATGGGGGAAAACACACATACATTGGCAAATACACAAATTTAAACAATAAATTTTTAAGGAGGCATCGTCTTTGTAATGACAAAGGTATTTAATTCAATCCTCGTTTTAAAATGTTGGTATCTATAGTGTTGTTTTTAGAAGCTGGGAGTAACTTATGGGAAAGAGACTAATATTTCAATGCAACATAGTTTGTGTAAATTGTTTCTTTTAACCTTCACGGTAGCTCTGCTAAACAGTATAACTGATTTTATTTTAAACTACAAGTAGAGGGACCATACTTTCAGGATTATCCTTGTGTAACTATTAATGATACTCTCTTTCACTGTCAAAAGTTCCTGACTCAGATGACAAATTATTCCATATTATATCCTTTATCATTATTATATCCTGGTTCAGATATAGTAATCATAGAAATCAGGAAACCAAGATATAATACATTTAAATAATTTGCTAATCCCATGCTTGTCCTTGGTCAGCTCAGTACTGGAACTTAGTTAGGCATGAAGACAAGCCACTCTCCTTTTACTGCTCAGCACTGCCTCAGAGCCGACAAAATCAGCAGGTGTTTCCAGGAGAGCCAATTGAAGATGAAGAAGTATGACCAGCCAAAATAGGAATGTCAAATATCCTGAAATGCCCCATTAGGAAACCAGTTCTTTGAATTTTTCTGCTCCCAAGGATGTGCTTTTATAAGGCAAATCGTCCTGAGAGGTATCACTTCACCGATTACTTCATACTTAAGTAATAATGAATTACCTGTGAGTGAGAAAAGGAGAAAATTTTAAAAAGTACTACATGGTAGAGGCTGGCAAAGGGAAAGAGGAAAAATATTGGAATGGAAGCTGCAAAAATAGGGCAGAATCTCATCAATTGGGAACTTGAGTCTACTTCATAATTTAAGCCTTGATGTTATATTCTAAGAATAAAGCTTCCTAATTAAGGTTAAGAATACCGCCTACTGTGGCTGATTCGGGCGGTCATGAGTGGGCCATGTGTAACAAAGGAGTACATCACGGACTAGAGACAGCAGAAGAGTACCAGCAGGAGGAGCTAGGCCACACAGACAGACAATGCCCTCATGGACGCGCTGTGGTTCCGTTCCCAGTTTATAGTATATCAGCTGCAGTTCTAGATTTAATTAGTTGTGACAGATCCTTCTAATATTTAAAGGCAAAAAGAGGAGAGCAAAGAAAAAGCAGAGGGAAAGAAGGTGTTTTATAAATGCAACTCAGAGACAAGAGAATTGAGAGTGGGAAAAAGGGAAAAATTTTCTTTCTAGGAGTAGCAGGAATAATAGATTTCTCAAGAGTAGAATAAGGTTTTACTGTTTGCTGAACTGCCTGGGAGCCTGTAAGAGGCAGCCCAGCGCGTTTCCGGAGGGGGACATGTGTATGTAAGTGTGAGCTAGGGAAGAGGTTGGCGTCATGCTTATCACTAGAACTTCCTCCTGGCCAACAGGAAGTGGAAAATGACACCAGCCTACAGTGATTATCTGAGCAAGCTGTGGTATAAAGGCATCGTGGCAATTATGAACTTCAGTGGTGTCTTTTGTGTCTTTTTATGTTAATTTTTAAAAATTAAACTGGAAACTATGGCTTTAGTGATTTTTTTTTTTTAAGTTCTGGAATACATGGGCAGAATGTGTAGGTTTGTTACATAGGTACACATGTGCCACGGTGGCTTACTGCACCTATCAACCTGTCACCTAGGGTGTTTTTTTTTTGTTTTTTTTTTTTTGAGATGGAGTCTCGCTCTGTCACCCAGGCTGGAGTGTAGTGGCGCGATCTGGGCTCAGTGCAAGCTCCGCCTCCCGGGTTCAGGCCATTCTCCTGTCTCAGCCTCCCGAGTAGCTGGGACTACAGGCGCCAGCCACCACGCCCGGCTAATTCTCTGTATTTTTAGTAGAGACGGGATTTCACCACGTTAGCCAGGATGGTCTGGATCTCCTGACCTCGTGATCCACCTGCCTCGGCCTCCCAAAGTGCTGGGATTACAGGCGTGAGCCACCGCGCCCGGCCCTGTCATCTAGGTTTTAAGCCCCACATGCACTAGGTATTTCTCCTAATGCTCTCCTTCTCCTTGCCCTTCACCCTATGAAAGGCCACGGTGTGTTATGTTCCCGTCCCTGTGTCCATGTGTTCTCATTGTTCAGCTCCCATTTATAAGTGAGAACATGCAGTGTTGGTTTTCTGTTTCTGTGTTAGTTTGCTGAGAATGATGGCTTCCAGCTTCATCCATGTCCCTGCAAAGGACATGAACTTATTCTTTTCTATAGCTGCATAGTGTTCCGTGGTGTATATGTCCCACATTTTCTTTATCCAGTCCATCATTGGTGGCCATTTGGGTTGGATTGCGGCCAACAAACATGTTAAAAAAAAGCTCATCATCACTGGTCATTAGAGAAATGCAAATCAAACCACAATGAGATTCTATTTCACACCAGTTAGAATGGTGATCATTAAAAAGTCAGGAAACCGGCCGGGCACAGTGGCTCACGCCTGTAATCCCAGGACTTTGGGAGGCCGAGGCGGGTGGATCACAAGGTCAGGAGATTGAGACGATCCTGGCTAACATGGTGAAACCCTGTCTCCACTAAAAATACAAAAAAAAAATTAGCCAGGCATGGTGGCGGGCGCCTGCAGTCCCAGCTACTCAGGAGGCTGAAGGGGGAGAATGGCATGAACCTCGGAGGCAGAGCTTGCAGTGAGCCGAGATCGCACCACTGCACTCCAGCCTGGGCAACAGAGAGAGACTCCGTCTCAAAAAAAAAACAGTCAGGAAACAACAGATGCTGGCGAGGATGTGGAGAAATAGGAACACTTTTACACTGTTGGTAGGAGTGTAAATTCGTTGAACCATTGTGGAAGACAGTGTGGTAATTCCTCAAGGATCTAGAACCAGAAATACCATTTGACCCAGCAATCCCATTACTGGGTACACACCCAAAGGATTATAAATCATTCTAGTATAAAGTGGTGTCTTTTAAGGAAAGGTAAGGACTGTGGTTCTCTTTGAGATACACGTAGAAACTTCAAGAGATCTATTCTAGCAGTCTCTCCAAACATCTGTTATTCACATACTCCTTTGATAAGTGATTATTAATTATGTGACCGCAAGTGCAATGTGTTTTCCCTGCTGAAGGAAATAGAGGAAAACTAATGTGAAAACAACATCACCACCACAACCTTCTGCCCTCTGGTGTGATAGAGAAGATGACGCATTCTTAAAATGGGAGAAATTACTCAGGGAAAATACATAGGAGGAAACATCTTTGAGGAGGCAACAAACAAGATTCTTAGACATATCTACTAAGTAAAAATCAGTGGCAGGAAGGTGAAAAGAAAGAAAATTATTCAGGATCTACATTAGTTGGGAAATACTGAGATTGCATGACTGGGTTTCTCTGGCTATAACAGCATAAATAAATTGAACTTGACTCAAATCTTCAAACTCATTTTAGGCACCATCATTGGGCTAATTCAAAAAGGCAGCACTGATATTACCTCATCTGGTGTAATTACATATAAAGAGTGTTGGGTTCCAGCAGAAGATATGGATTTGTGTCCCTCTCCCTGTGCCACTGTTCCCTAGCTATGCTACT
This sequence comes from Homo sapiens, assembly GCF_000001405.40. Classification (NCBI taxonomy): domain Eukaryota; kingdom Metazoa; phylum Chordata; class Mammalia; order Primates; family Hominidae; genus Homo; species Homo sapiens. The sequence continues at coordinate 146,779,363 of NC_000007.14, read as the reverse complement.
TTAGAACCTAATGATGTATTTTGGGGTTTCTATATGTATTATTTGAATTTGTAAAACGGGGATAATAACTAGTTTTTGTTTGTGTTTTTCTTTAAAACCAAAAGTCCTTTAGTAACTAGGAAGAAAAACTTACTTTAATGAGCTCAGACAGGGGGAGGTGACCATTAGAACTGGAATGATACATCTGAGAGACTCAAGCTGAAGTTCAGTCAGAGGTTAAGCAAGTTGGAAACAGGGGTCTGAAAGAGCCTGTGAGTGAAACCAGAGCTTGATTCATCCTTCTCTGTGCAGGTACCCTGGCCTCATGTCTTCACTTCTTCCCCAGCACCTGCTCTCCTCTTCTCTCTAGTTTACACATAGCCTGTTATCGTTTCCCCAGTAGTCCCCTGGGTTCCCAAAACGATGTCAGGTAACAAAGCAGAGGGATTCTAATAGCAACCGTTGAGATCAGGTGTTCTCACTAAGCCTCTGTGGTAGTGGAGAGAGACCTGGACCACGTGGTGGATGGCTGTCTCTCTGGCAGAAGAAAAGGACTGATTTCTACAAAAGGCATATGAAGTACAAGGTTGAAAGTTTGGCAGAAGAATTGATTGGCATCTCTAACTGACCATTCTTTCTAACCAGGTTGTTATGAAGATTGAGAAACAATTAGAGCACAGATGAAAGCAGTTTATAATCTGTAAAATTCTATATTAAAAGTAAGGTAAGGGATATGCTGTTTGAAACTTTCAAAGGTTTTGTATCTGTGCTAACCTTGGAAAGAGTAACACATCTAAGTGCTACTAACTCAGAATGACACAAGACTGGGAAGCCTTCGATGGATTAAAAATGTGGGGATAAATCAGAACACAGATCACAGGAATAAGGTGTTGATAAGAAAACAACAGCACCAATAAACTAAAAACAATGAGCTCCAAAAGACATGTCAGAATTACGCATGGATTTTTCATTTAAACATCTCATTTCCTCCATACTTTTGCCATGTACTGGTCCCTGACATCAAGATTATAGCAGATGGATTTGTATTGTGGAGAACCATAAACTAAATTCAATTTCATAAATATGTGACAATCTGTCATTTGAATATATGCATTTATATGGTGCTTTCCTATGTATTTATAAACTTTCTCTCCAAAATGTACTTTAGGAATATCATTTAAGTAAATAATAAAACTTGAAGCCAATGTTTATCAACATAATGCTCAACTGAATTTGTTCTTTTCTGCATTTGTATAATTAGTAGGTTACATTCTGATATTTTTCTGTTAGTATATGATCTTCTCACTTTCAGATACTTATATAGTGTCTGTATCAGATGACTCTTGCCACTTGTAAATTAAGAAAATGTATCTCCAACATTCCTGGATTCTATAATGTTCATATATTTTTTCTGCTTGGAATTGTCTGTCTTCTTTATATCTTCCAGATATATAACATCATGCTATACTTAAAAAAAAAAATCTCTTTTCTCTCAATGCTGGCTATTAGCCACATATATGTTTTCAAGAATTTCACCCTACATGGCTCTTCTCCCAAGGGCATTTGCATATAAATTTTAGAGTGGAAGAAAATATTTTGTTGTCCAACCTGGCCAACATGGCAAAACCCCATTTCTATTAAAAAATGCAAAAATCAGCCAGGCATGGTGGGCACTCTCCTGTAATCCCAGCTACTTGTGTGGCTGAGGCAGAAGAATCACTTGAACCCAGGAGGTGGAGCTTGTAGTGAGCTGAGATCATGCCACTGCACTCCAGCCCAGGCAACAGAGCAAGACCCTGTCTTAAAAAAAAAAAAAAAGTTTTGTATTGTAACAACTATGTATGACTTTCTTTTTGTTTTTCCTTGGAGAGGATATAACCTTTCTTTCTCATGCTAGTTCCCTTGACCCACATTTACGTGGCCAACAAGGGTGAAGCCCTACATGTATGTTTCTTGCTGTACCTGCAGGGGCAGAGCAGCATAAAGGGTGAAGATATAGCTTAGTTACCTCACCATCCGTAAAAATTAGGGAGCAAAAATGAGAGCGTTGGGGAGGGCGAGTTATATGTCATTATGGACAGCATAACGCTGATAAGCAAAGCAGTCTTTAGAAGCCAAAAAGTACGTAGCTGCACATCCCCACATAACAAATGATAAAATGGGCTACAATGAAGTGTAGATCTATATCTATAGGACAGACAACACTTTCTTTCCCAACGTGATAATTTCACCCTAATGTATGACAATCCAGTATATCAATGGTCAAAAAGAGATGAACTGTGGGTCACACAGTTAAGAAACTGTAACTTTTGTTTTATAGTTTTTTTGCTTTTGAAACATCTGTCTTTCTGGAAATGCATTCTATTTCTCTCTATCTACCTACCTACCTACCTGTCAATCATCTAGGTAGATATAAATATATATTCTACAAACTACAGACAAAACTACTATAAGGAAAGTAAAGATACTCCTCAAATCCAAGTGTCCAAGTTAAGAAATATATTAACACTTTGGAAGCTTAATATCAGATACCTGACTCTCTCTGTATGAGTAGATAAATACATAAGCAGCTCTAAATGGTGTAAAGTGGTATCTTGTATTATGTTAAAACAAAGAAAAAATAATTTAACTTTTCTAGAATTAAATGAGAGCAAAAAACCTATATATTTTTTCTTGTAAAAGATGTTAATTCCCATTAAAAAACCAAAGGCAGAATAAATTTGTACCTAAAGTTTCAGCATCTGGTAACCTGCTGCTCTGAAAGGTTAGGAAGAAAAAACACCCACATCTCTCTAATTCCCATAATTGACACTTTTACATTTCTGTGCCTATAACATTTATACTCTCTCCTACAACTATAGCTCCTACATCGTTTAGTCGAGGTCTTATATGGAAATGGGTTCCTTGCTCAACACCAGTCATGTGGCCACAATTTCTTTATTGTGCACTTTCAATTTTCTCATTGGTGACTAGATTGTCTCATTTGTATTCCTGAAGTGCTGTTTGCATGACAGAACCTGACTTGCCCAAATTTACTGAGCAAATCATCTTCTTCAGTCGTATTTTCACTCAAAACTTTTGAAAGTAACATTTTCTGACTCTGCTTCCATTCCTCACAGGTGCTTTATGTCTCTCGGCATTATGGCACTTCTTTTAGGGAACAGTACACTCTCTTGGGACCTAGAATTATATGGTATTTCTTTTTCATATTTTGTCCTAGATTTCCTAGTAATGGGAAGGTCTGTATCATAATTACCATTTGGGTATGGCCAGTCCCTTGTTTCATGTTTTTCTGTCTATATTCATTGTTTTAGTTGTTTTCAATGACTTTTATGAGAGAGAAATATATTAAAATTTATATTACTTCAACATCTTTATGCAGAATTTTTGATAACTTATAGTAACTCAACAACTCTCTCATGTCCATAGCCTGATGAATATCAGGTTATAAAAATGAGCTAATTTATACTAATATTACATTAAAACTGCATTTTTGTTATGTTCCTCTACCTTTGCTTGTGTATCACTCTTTCACCAAGTCTTTTTACTGACTGAGACCTCTTCATAGATCTGTGAATACCTTATATATTATTCTGTATACACTAGGCTAGCTTTTTCCTATCTATTTTCTTCTCTTTTTTGGTCTTTCTAAATCTGATATGCCTTTCTTTTCTGATACAATATTTTTTCTCCCTCTCTTTATTTTCTTCTTCTTGTTCTTCTTTTGGGTTTCCTCCTGCTTTCTTTTTTCATCTTTGTTTCCTTCCTTCCTTCCTTCCTTTCTTCCTTCCTCTCTCCCTCCCTCCCTTTCTCCTTCCCTCCCTTCTTCCCTTTCTTACTTCCTCCTATATTCATTCCCTTTCATTTTTTTATTTATAGAATTGGTTGATTCTAGATTGTTTTATGATTTCACATTTCTTATTTTCCTTTAGCTGTATTAAGGTGCAGTCACAAAAAATTTATATATTTATAGTATACAACATGGTGTTTTGACATATGTATTGTGAAATAATTAACTCAAGATAATTAACATATCCATCACAACACAGTTATTTTTCATAAATGGTGAGGCCACTTAAAAGCTGTTACTTTAGCAATTTTCAAGGATGCAACATATTATTAACTATAGTCACCATGCTACACAATAGATATCCAAAACTTATTCATCTTGTCTAACTAAAACTTTGTACCTTTTAACAGATATCTCAATTTTTTCTCCCTCTCCACCGAAGCCCCTGTCAACCACCACCATTCCTGTTTTACTGAATTAAACATCATGGTCTCTGTTTGTTGATTCATATTTATCTGAGATAATATTGTTTCTTTCCTTTTTAAGTTGCCATTCACTGATGTTTGTACCAGTGTTCCTTTGAAGCAAAAGAGTTTTTTGCCTCTGTCCTTAATTATGTTCTTTTACTCTCAGTGAATTGCTAGAAAATTTGAAACTGCCAGTTACTAACAAATACCATGATTTAAGGTCAAGAACTCACATTGTAGTTGCACACATCTAACGATTTTTTACACAGATTTTATAATAGAGCTACATTCTGGGTACCGGAGGAAAAATTACAAGGGGCATTTGCATTTTCAATAGGAACTAACTTTTTACATTAATATACAGTAAATACAAAGTGCTTTTTTTAATACACCGTACGCATTTTGGGAGTCAATTCTTTTTTACATCTTTCTAAATGATTTTCTGATTAATAGGAATTTTAACTCTAAACGTTTATGCCATTTTGACTTTATTATCCCAGGCAACTTCAAAATGTCTTCCTTTTTGACGTACTATCTCTAACTTCCAGCCTAAGTTTTCCTATGTTATTTCAATGTGGAGATTACATGAGAGGTTAATGGCATCTATGGATCTTTTAATAGAAGTGGCAGGAGTGATTTCTGGTGTCTGCCAACATCTGTTGTGTGATTATATATATATATGGCTATAAATATAACATGTTCTTATTTAACATGTTTATTGATAAAAGAATCAAAATTTGGCTTACCTCCTCTCTTGTTTATCTTGGCATAGCCGGGAGAATAGCTACCAGAGATGGAGGAGGAGCTGCTGAAAGCCACATGGGGGAGTCCAGAGACAAGTGGCTCATCACATTTTTCTGAAAACAAAAGACAGAGAGGGAGAGAGACACTCAACAACGATTTCGAAATAACGATTGGTATGTGTTGGTTAAAAAATCATTGAATCTGATATGTCTTTTATGTATCTTTGAAACAATATTTAGCAAAGGAATTTAGGCAATTCTGTTATCCTAAATATAATATAACACAGGAGCTGTTTATATAACCCTGATATTCAAATGGAAAACCATAGCAAAGCACATTACTCCAAAGGACTTCACCTCAGTCTTGCTATCTGAGAATCATGAGTAAAATTGAGCTTGTTCCTGTAATAAGCTTTGGTATCTGGCATCTCCTGGAAATCTTCAGGTATTTATACATTATAGGAACAGGGAACTAGAATTACTAATGTTGGAGGAGGAAAGACAAAGAGGACTCCTACCAAAGCCAAAAGACCAAGAAATGGGGAGTTGCTAACCAACACGTATAAAATTTCAGTTATGTGAGATGACTAAGTTCTGGAGATCTGGTGTGAAATATTATACCTCTAGATGATATTGCACACTTATCAAGGCAGATCTCATGTTACATGTTCTCACTAGAATAGAAAAAAGAGGCTGGGAGTGGTGACTCATGCCTGTAATCCCAGCACTTTGGGAGGCCAAGGCGGGTTGATCACCTGAGGTCGGGAGTTCAAGACCAGCCTGACCAACAGGAGAAACCCCATCTCTACTAAAAATGATAAATTAACCGGTCATGGTGGTGCATGCCTGTGATCCCAGGTATTCGGGAGGCTGAGGCAGGAGAATTGCTTGAACCTGGCAGGCAGAGGTTGCGGTGAGCCAAGATCGTGCCACTGCACTCCAGCCTGGGCAACAACAGCAAAACTCCGTCTCAAAAATCAAAGAAAGAAAGAACTAGACATCAGCAAGTAAAGACAGAATAACCATCAACTTGAAAATTATTACTGACAGAAAAATTAATCAGTTCCCATCATGCTCAACCAATCAACTGCACTGAAACCAGGCAATACCTCAATTCTATTTGTAACACTTTCTGCACTTGGCTTTTATAATGTCATTAAGATTTTTTTTTCTCTTTTTTCTCATTAGCTGCTTGCTCTCTGATTCCTTTGATGGATCTTTCTCATTTTGCCAACGCCTAAGTGCTTCTAATGTTAACGTGGCCAGGACTGTTCTGAGTCTACCGTCCCTCTCTGGGTCTCTGGGAAATGGCATGGAGGGCTAAGTCTTCTGATACTGGGATGTTCCAAATCCTACTGCCTCACTTCAACTCCATAGCTACAGATAGGGCACATACAGCTTCCAGAGATCACTGTTACAAAAGACTGTGTGGTCTCCCTGCTTCCCCTCTCACTCTGCTATAGTTTTGCCGGCAGCAGCTGAAGAAACACTTTTCAAACTGTAAGTGAACTTGTGGCTGCTGTACTCAAAATGCTCTCTGGCTCCTGCTCTCAACTTGGCCTACTGTTCAAAGTACCCCTGCCCAACCCCTGCTACCCCGCCACCCAGTGGCCTATGATGGCCACAACACTAGTCTTATCTCTTTCCCCATGTTCTTGTCTATTCCTGTCTAGCCACCATGGCCCCTTTCCTCTTTTTTCTTTTTTATTTTTATTTGAGACCGAGTGTCACTCTGTTGCCCAGGCTGGAGTGCAGTGGCGCCAGCTCGGCTCACTGCAACCTCTGTCTCCCGGGTTCAAGCGATTCACCTGCCTCAGCCTCCTGAGTAGCTGGGATTACAGGCGTGTGCCACCAAGTACAGCTATTTTTTTTTTTTTTTTTTGTATTTTCAGTAGAGACGGGGTTTCACCATGTTAGCCAGGATGGTCTAGATCTCCTGACCTCGTGATCTGCTCGCCTCGGCCTCCCAAAGTGCTGGGATTAAAGGTGTGAGCCACCGCACCTGGCCCCTCCTCTTCCTTTAAAAACAATCCTACCCCTGCTGTAAGCCTTTGCAACTACTACTCCAAGTATCCTCTCTTGTCACAGGTCTCTGCTCAATGTGACCTTTGCCACTGAGGACAGGGTTTGCTAGTTCACCCAGCATTTTGTTGCCATCAGTCTCTGTATCCACATCCTGCTTGATTTTCTGTCATAATACATATATGTTATGTTGTTACTCATTTAATTGTTTTGTTGTCTTTCTCTCCCACTAGATAGAAAGCTCTATCTGAAATGAAGTTTTAGTTGGCCTAATGCTTACTCTCCAGTGATCTGAACAATGGTACTTGGCACGTACTCTAAAAACATTTGTAGGATAAATGAATGAATGTACTAAACCCAATGAACCTCAAAGAGTCTGGAAGCAAGATCTCATATTATAACATGCCACAACACTTAATTTTTAGAGTAGTGGTCTTAAATTCCCCACAAATGTTTATGCTCAGAACTCTGTTTAATAAAACAGAAAATGTTTCTCTATATATTCAAAAATGTTTCTCTCTCAAATTTATAAGCAAAAAATATTTTAGCAACAGAAAGAATAAACTAATTTTCTTGTAAATTCACTTAAGTCCCCAATGATACTGGAGAAATGAATTATTATTTATTATCTCACCACTCAATTGTATACAAATTGGAAATTAAAATCAACAAATCCGTCTTCATATAATATTTGTAAAATTGCTTATTTTTCTTAGTTATACTGCGTGCCTCTGTGAAATATGGCATGTGTGTATAAATAAGTTCCCCAGAAAGTTAAATGTAAAAGAATGAAAAGAACTTAAAATTTGTTTTAAAAGTATCAATTCACAAAGCTATCATCTAAAGTAATGGGTTTCATATTAATCGAAAACATCTACTTCTGTTTAGCTGTGAGCACAAACATACATCCTTGATTTTCCTACTTTCTGATACATTTGATTATAACTTTTTATAATTTTTGAGATAAGTGTTGCCTTTAATTGGAGTAAACATTCCTTCTAATGTTCCCGTTATATTAGAAATGTGCTAACATTCACTCATGTTCATTTCATTCATTTAAATATGCATCAACTGCCAAGCACTGAAGTGCAGCTGAAGGTGAAATTAACAATGCCCTGCCCTTGTAGAGCTTATGTTTTTGTGGGAAGAAACATGCCAACGAAAAAATGTAAATTTATAGTATGCTATGGTAATTAATACTAAGAAGGAACATTAAATATGAAACAGTGGGCAGGGAGTTTGGGGGTGAGGTGGAGAGGAAGAGAATTGCTATTTTATGCTGCCTTCTCAAGGAAAGTTTTGACAAAATGATCAGGTAGCATTTGAGTAGAAATATGAAGAAAATGAGGAAGAAAGCCACGTTATAAATCTGCAGGATCATGCTAGGAGAAATTTTTCTAGTCCATACCTGCTCAATCAGGCTAGCTCATACTTGATAATAATGCATGACACATTTTCTAAGAGTGAATATCCAATGGATAGATATGGTTGCGTTGAATGTAATTAAACTAAGTTGATAACTGATTAAATGATCCAATAGCTAATTTAAATTTAGAATTTATATGTAGCATTTATAAAACCATAATATAGTTTAGAGTTATTACATTAAACAAATTGGCTTCTGTAACTAATTCATCATCTGAGTACCAAATTTTACATTTTTTACTAATTTAAAAAATCAAATCAATTTTTAAAAATTTAAAAATTAAAGTAATAATTTGAAAAAATTATATAATTATTCAGAATAACAATAATTAGAATTAAATTGAGCTTAGTAAAGATCAGGGCCAATAAGCAATTTTTTTTAAAGGTGACTGCAAAATTATTATCAGAATGTAAAGCACCAGCAATCTCACATTCTTCCAAATTAAAACATAATCTATAATCATATTATAAGCTAAAAAATGCAACAATTACTATATTTTTCCCTGGAGGACATTAATCACGATTATTTATTGAGATCTTACACTGCATTTTGCTGTTTTCACTACTTCAGGCAGATTATATGTATATGTGTGTGTGTGTGTGTGTGTGTGTGTGTGTGTATACACACACATATATATATATAATTCCATTTCGCTACATTCCATTTGTATATATGCACACACACACATACATACAAAGATATGGCATATTCCTCCATAAGTGGCAGTAATAAATGAATCCACAAAAAGTAATTAAACATGAAGCAACAAAAGAGTAATAAAAATGGTTTAAAATTCAATGCTAAATAGAATAAAATCAAATACAAAAAGCCACAAATAAATTAGAAATGTAGGGTTGTTGTTAGTTGAGTTGCTCATTAGACCTGGCTCCATCATAAACGTGTGACCCTGAATATGTCAATGAACCCCTTTCCTACAGGTGATACACAAGTAATATGAGGAAGTTTAAGTTTCTCTCAAGCTCTGAAAACCCCAAAATAGTGTTAACCACCAAGAGTTAGAAAACTATGGCCTGCAGGCCCAACCCAGCCCACAGATTGCTTTTGTAAGTAAAGTTTTATTGGAGCACAGTTACACATCATGCATTTATGTATTGTCTCTGATGGCTTTCACACAGCAGTAGAATATTGCAATGGATATCATATGGCCCACGAAACTAAACTATTTACTATCTGAGCTTTTACAGAGTGAGTTTCCAAACCTCTTATCCAGTATAACAAATATGAAGGAACTTAGGAATCAGAATGATTAATGATTAGAGTGTCAGATGCCATATAATTAATGAATAGAATCTGAAGAAATTAGAGACTACAGATAGGTAGAAAGGAAATTTTAGAAAGAGGGAACACCTCAAGCAACATGAAAGAGCCCACAATGAATTTGAAATTTCCCAGAGATGGTTGTAGCAGCACTCCATGCAAGCACATATTGCCATACTGACTATTACAATATACTATCCATTTTTATTTCCAACTGTAATAATGGTTATCACTCATTATGCATTCTAAAAAGTCTGCTTTTTTGTTGTACTAAAACATGTATCTCAATCTCCTGCAGACATTAAATACTAGGAAATCAGTCAAATCCCTGGAGAAATTTAGAATTTTTATATAATAGTAAAGGAGGGAAGGAGCGAAAGAAAAAGAGAACTAACATTTGAAATAATCCAGTATTGTGTTTTCCCATACTGGGATGTCTTCCAAAACTACAGCCATACACAGCAATGGCAAATATTTGGTCTCCAGCGTACTTCCCTTCCAGGGAATCTTGGATGAAAATTAGAAAAGCAGATGGGCCTTGAGTTTTATTTTCACACAATTTCAGTCAATCATGAAGGCAGACTAGCTATATGAATCCTGTACTAACTCAAGCTGGAGCAGAGGAAATTATTGGCAAATAGACATGAAATAGCTGTTGCCCTTTACCTAAAAGATACGGCTGAGAGGTTTGGCTATTGGCAAGGGATACTGGCAGGAGTTTACAAGATTAAAGGACTTCAGAATATACGTAATTGACACAAAAGTATGGTTTTCAAATGCATCTCTGCTGAAATATAATGTCTGAAAATGTTTCACAAAACAATATATGTTTAAACTATAACACTTCAAATAGATGTTTTATATGACCCATTTGGTAACATAAGCCTAATGGAGGAAAACAACTAAAAACAACAAATGACTCAAGAATGAGACAGTGCTAGCTGAACAGAAATTCTAGCAATAACATCCTCACTTTTATATTAGGAAAAATTCCATGGCAAAAGGCACATTCTGAGTTGAACACATCACTCTGTGGTCTTACGTGTACATTCAACTTCTGCCTTTTGAAGTTCGAGCTACTCTACCTATACCTGCACATTTACCCTGCATCACGTGTTATGACTATTCCTTTCCATCATCAGTAGCACAGCAGTTCCTCCAAGAGGTCTTTTATCTACCCCCTGATGTCCATTTCAGGGTCATTAGTTAATGCAATAACTAATGATGGTCAGAAATGTGGGGGGGCACACAACATCGGGACACTCAGGAGCAGAAGGCAAGGTGCAGTCCTGGAGCACTGAGTTGGGACACCAGACCCTGAAATGGACATCGGGGGAAGACAAAAGACCTCTTGAGGAACTGCTGTGCTGCTTGGGAAGCCATAGAAGAGCTTTTCGTTCAGCTTGTAATTCAAGATAGTTTTAGTCATAAGGAACAAGGCAGGATGGGAAGCAGAAGGCAAGTTTGTTGGGAGGTTTGGCCAGAGCTTCTTAAATTACTCCTGATGTCTGCAAGCCAAATTTTGTCTAAATTTAATTTATATTTTACATTTTCTAATTTTCACATATCACATTTTTCTTTAATAATATGTGGAAAGTACAGGAAACAGAATATGATATTCTCTTCCAATTTTTATAATAATTTTTAGACATAGTTGAGGGTCAAGTTTAACTTAACTTTGTATAATTAATACTTTTTGGTGAAAGGCGTGACTTTCAGAGGTAGCAGCATGCTCCTTAGAGTCAAAATATTTAGATTTTATTCCTAGCAACATAAATTGGGGCAGCTTGTTTAATCCTGTCTTACCCACAGTTTCCTTAGTTTTTCCATTATTTCAAAAGTCCTTTTCCTGTTTTGACCCAGTCGTTCTAGATTTTTAAATCATAACAACATAAAATAAATGGTTAAACATTCAGAGTTATAGAAGTATGCTATAAAAATGTATGCTCCTTCTTAGGGCAAAGAACTCATTGACTACTACTCAATCTAGCTTATATATCTTCACTTATACCATATTTTCCTCCCATTTTTATGGTTCATACATTGCTTTTGTGTATCTCTTGCTCCAGCTTCCCTGGACTACTCTTTGCTATTGAAAATAAGATACATCTTTCTCTTGCTCCTGTAGAATTTCATACAATACAGTTAAAGAAAGAACCCTAATAATCCATAGAAGTCATTGCTATTATTACTCTTCATAGTACATATACACAGATGCAACATTTAACGTAACAGATATTTAGATATGCACGCAAATAAACAAACAAAAAACATTTACAATCTGGTCTTTAACATACCTTTTCACTTACTGATCTATCATAGAAATTCCCATACAAATATAGCCTCATTTTATGTATTTCATTTTATATTAGAGATCTTTTATTATTTATATTAGGCTCTGCATGGCAGAAGCAACTAACTTTGCACAGAAAATACTAGAGTGCTAGGTCATTGCTAAAACAGGTCATAAAATTGCATTGAGAATTAATTATTTTCTCATAGAGTCTACAAATAAGTTCACAAAAGAACTTATCAAACAGAAGGACCATGAAGAGAAGTACAATTAGTTTGTCATCAATTGCTAATTTAGGAAAAAGCTAAAGATAATGGAATTGGAATGAAATCAACTGATTGGACATAACTTATCTGACACACAGCGAAAATTGCTAAGTGAATACAATAAATTCATCTGCCTTCCTTTTTTCTTTTTACTATATCTCTCTTGTTTCCTACTAGATGGAGGTGACCTAATTTACTCTTTTATTTCATTTTCCATTTAATGAGACAAAGCCCAGTGTTATAGGGGTGAGCCCGAATGAGGCAGCCTTCCCACCTCCCATCTCAATCCTTCCAATTTGGACCTTGATGAATATACAGATGGCAGAGATCATTAAACCACAATCAACGAATCAATTGATAGTAATAGCAATCATTTATTGAACACTTACGTGATAGCCAAGTAAATATTTTGAGTGGGTCATCTCATTGAGTTATCACAGTAACCCATTGAGATGGGTAGTATTACCATTTTATAGATGAGGAGGCTTCAGATCTCACAGCTAAAGGATATTAAAGTCAGGACAAAGGCCAAATTGTACCTGATTCTAAGGCCTGTGCTTTTGAAGTCTAGTTTTCTGGGACAAATGGTTTCTATAGTGACTTCAGGTAAAATCATATATGTTGCACTGGGCTACACAGACCTAATAATATTGAAATTGTCAAATTGTTCTCACCACCTCTCATTTTGATTCTAAGAATTTACATGAAATGTTACCCTATATAATAATATTGCAGGAATTTCAATATTTTGTGTGCCAAATCAGACCCACATCTTTTAACTGAAAGAGGTTTCTGCAGTTTTAAATAGATGTTCTCAGAGAAACCCATATATAATCAGCAATTTAATGGATATGCCTACATTGAATAGCCTCAGCAAAAGACATCAACTTTATTTCATTTATTCATTCAATAAATATTTATTGGGCACTTATTTCCTGCTTCGATCTTTATCTCCTTACAATCCATTTTCTTCACAGTTGCCAGATGGATTTTTTAAAACTGGGCATCAGATTTTGCCATGCCCTGAAGGCTTCCTGATGGCTTCCCCTCTTATTTAGTATAAAATCGAAGCTCCACTGGGCCCAAGATGGTCTGGCCCTGAAGATATCTCTGGCGCTATTTTATTTCACTCCTTCTCTGGGTCACTAAGCTCTAGATTCACTCTCCTCTCTCTCTCATACACACCAAGCACACCCTTGCTCAAAGGCCTTTCCATCCTCTCCGCTGTCCAGCTAAAATTCTCTCTACCAGGTTTAAAAGAGCTGGTTCCTTTCCACTCTGATTCTGACGCAAATACTACCTTCACTTTTTCTGATCAGTTCATCTAAATTAACCAACTCAATTTCTGTCTTCATTGAGACATTGCTTACTATTCTATCACACTGTCTTGTTTTGTTTCACAGCACTCACCACAATCTGAAATTATCTGGTTTGTTTTTAATTTCTTTATTACTTTTCTTGTTGAATGGACTGTAAATACCATGAGAGGAAGGCAGGTGCCTGATGTGTCCACTCTCTATTCCCAGAGCCTCAAAATCTGTCATGCAGCATAACACAACCTTGCAGAGAGCTGTTGAATCAATGAATTACTGACAATGATAAGAAATAAATCCATCTAAAAGCAAGCAAGGCAAAGTGCTTCCTAGTTTTGACTATTGAGATGTATTCACTTCATCTGTTTAGCTTCTAAGATGTATTTTTGTATTTTCCATTTTAAAATCTGCATTGCAAAAGAGAAATGGCTTCATCCCATGATCTTACACATAGATCTACTTCACTGTATCCCACATAAGAAATATCATCTCTGATCTTCAACAACTTAAAATGACTTGTAATTTGGAACCCCTGAATTATATAGAGGGTTTGTCTAACTCATCAGTACAGTACATGACTTTAGGACTTTTTAAATATCTTGGCTCCAGCAAATGAGTTTTTTGAGACTTGAAACTATTGACTACTGTCAGTTAGCTCTTTTACATCTACTTTTAGTCTTAAAAAGAACATAAGACTTTGGTGTTCCTAATATAATATTTTCATTCTGTATCATTGAAAATCTATTATGATCAATATTGGTTTATATGTTGATTTCTCTGCCAATAATCCTCTTCTGAGGAAGGGAACTTCTTTTCTTTCCCAATATGCAGAATGTAGGGCACACCATAGGAAGTCTTCATATATTTTGAAAAATATTGAACACAATCAATGCAATTTTAATAGCTTATGGCAATGAATAAATTCATTATTTTTAATCTTAAAAATTAGTTCAGATTTCTTTCATTTTCTATTTTGGTTTGTCTAATAGCTATGTTTAAAAATAATAATGAAATAAAAGTAGTATAGCTAGAAAATCGGTCATGTTTGGAGAAATCTTGGTTGTAAATCAAATAAAAAATTGTCTGGTCTGCATGTACCAAGGGCAAATTACTTCGAGAAGTAGTTCAAATTTTGCTGGACATTTAACAGCTGTAGCATATTTCCAACAGATGGTATAACAGATGAATCAGTTTCAAATTATCTACTGAACTGTAATGTACTAGAAATGAAATAGATTTGTGAGGCTTTTTTTTTAAATTAAGCTTTTGACTCCTCGAACTTGATCTTCTAATTTAAAAGAAAAAAAAAAACTCTACAACACAAAATAATAAAAAACAATTTTTACCCTAGCTGTAATCTGGAAAACAAATTGAAGTTTTAATTTTATAACTTCATGCAACAAAAGGAAATAGTATTCAAAAACTGAATCACCACCCAGGAGCTAGGCAGAGGTTTTAATCTCTAACACAGTGGTGACAGTAGACTTTTCTTTTTTTAACTCAAATTCTACAGTCTCGTAAGAAGGTCGAGCTACCTAGAACTTTTAATAAACCAATAATCTGAAGACCGTCAAGGTCAATCACAATATGACTAAATGAACTTGAGTACTCTTAAAGCTTTGATTGACAATCTTCCTAAGGGCTGGGCTCATTTGAATTGTAATTTATTGGTCCACTGGTAAATGTTGCAATTTTTGACCCTCTGGTTTCATTAACTGGTTAACTGAAAGTTAGCATTTAGCAATAAGCAATGTACTTACTGAAAACCAAGTCTATTTCCTAGACTACTTAACCCACTTAGCTTTAAATAACTAAGTGCTGTAGGTAAGCATTTTCCCAGTGTACTTGGCTTAAGTAACTTCAGATTAGGCCATGCAATCAAGAGGTACAGAGTGAAAAATGGAGCGCTATAGAGCCAGTAAGGGTGAAGCTGTAGAAAAATCCTTAATCAATTGACAAATGTTTATGGCATGATAGGCTAAAAAAGTAGTCTATAAAACAGTATTTATAATATGATCTTCATTTTATGAAATAGATATTTATAGGTAAAGAAATGACTGAAAGAATATGTAAACCAAAATGTCAATCATGGTACTGTACTGATTGCTAGATAATTGTTGACTTTCATTTTCTTCTATTTTCTACAGCTTGGAAATGTTCTTCAATTAACATATATTGATTTTATAACATTTGAAAAATAGTATTAACTACCCAGTGACGCTGAGTGCAAAGTTAATATGCATTTCCTTCAATGACAATTTATAGAGTGCCTACAGTTGGGGGACAACAGTGAACAACCTAGAGTTTCATATTATAGTAAATAATAAAAAAAATACACAGTATTTCAGATGGTGTTAATTATAGGGAAAATAGGGCATGACAGGAAGATGAGGAGTATGGGTGAATGGATAAGCATCCTTGAAATTAGAGGTTTCAGAAGGCCTTACTGATAAGGTATCATTTTTAGCAGAACTTAATGGAAAAGAGAGAACAAGCCATAGGGTTATCTGATATCTGTGGAGTAGTAATTCTAGCACAACAAACCCCAGTCAAAAGGCTCGGAGCAGGAACAAGGTGGGTATGTTCAGAGGTCCTAGGAGGCCAGTGAGGATGGAGCAGAAGCATGAGGTAAACAGGACGGAAAGTGGCCAGAGAGACTGCAGAAGACTGGGATGGAAGCCAACTTTGCTGGGCTTTGTAGGGGATCGATATGGTTTAGCAGTGTCCCAACCCAAATCGCATCTGAATTGTAGCTCCCATAATTCCCACATGTTGTGGGCTTTGTAGGGGATTGATATGGTTTAGCAGTGTCCCCACCCAAATCGCATCTGAATTGTAGCTCCCATAATTCCCACATGTCATGGGAGGGACCCAGTTGGAGGTAATTGAATCATGGGGGCAGGTCTTTCCTGTGCTGTTCTTATGATAGTAAATAAGTCTCATGAAATCTGCAGGTTTTATAAAGGGGAGTTCCCCTGTACATGCTACCTTGCCTGCCACCATGTAAGACATGACTTTGCTCCTCCTCTGCCTTCCACCATGATTATGAGGCCTCCCCAGCCACGTGGAACTGTGAGCCCATTAAATCTTTTTGCTTTATGAGTTACCCAGGCACAGGCATGTCTCTGTTAGCAGTGTGAGAACAGACTACTACAGGGATTCTTTTTTTGTTTGTTTTTTGTTTTCCCTAGATGGAGTCTTGTTCTGTCACTCAGGCTGGAGTGTACTGGCACGATCTCAGCTCACTGCAACCTCTGTTTCCTGGGTTCAAGCAATTCTCCTGCCTCAGCCTCCCAAGTAGCTGGGATTACAGTCATGTGCCACCACGTCCGGCTAATTTTTGTATTCTTAGTAGAGACAGGGTTTCACCATGTTGGCCAGGCTGGTCTCAAACTCTTGACTTTGTCATCCTCCCGCCTCGGCCTCCCAAAGTGCTGGGATTACAGGTGTGAGCCACCACACCTGGCCAGGGATTCTTAGGAACTGGGCTTCAGTAACATTCAAAGAATGGAAGCCCACAACAAGACAAAATGTGATATTTTGCCAAGTATGCTGTAATGAAAGTAGACGTTTAATGTAAACTGTGTTATTTTCTATCTAGACATGATTCTATTAAAATTTCTATATAAGGGCTCTCACAACAGGTTTTAATTCTAAGTAATCCAAATCAACTTTTTGTCTCTAATGAACAAGGAAAATAAGTTGGAGAATATTTAGTCCCCTGGGTATGAATTTATCTTAAACAATGTAAGGATCTATGTTAAAATAATATTCATTTATTTTAATTTCTGTTAATCTGGCATTAATTAACTATATCTTTCTTAAATATATTTAGATTTTGAGTCGCATACTATCCTTTGAAGTGGCGATTTGAAAAATATTCCCCTTTGTCTCCCAGTAATCTGAATTCATTTCTCCTCATGTCTTCAATAACACGGAGGACCTACCATTGAATAAAGAAGTTGTATCCCCTTCTAGAAGGCTTGTCTTCTAGAGAAAAATAAATTACCCAGTTAGCTATAAGCAATGGGATAATCGCAATTGAAAGGAGTGAACAAAGGGAGGAGGCAAGGTAAGTTCTGCCTGAAGGGGTAAGGACAGTTTTAATATTTAAAAAAAAAGATGGTATGATAAGAACAATTTCACTACACATAAAATGACAGAGAAGAGCACTCCAGGCAACAGAGTCAATATCACAATAAAGTGTAAATATGGGAATGTATAGCATCTTCAAGAAAGAGACAAAAACAAACAAACTTAAAAACAGCAACAACAACAGAACAAACACACTTGTTCTCGCTGCCTAAAGTGCTCTTCTTCACATTTTCTCTTGGATAAATGATCATGTCCTACATCAAATCTCAGGAGGCAAGTGCTTCCCTGAGTTCACCATCACTTACACTAAATTTAGTCTGCTTCCCTCTCTTTTCAGGGAACACACTTTCCTATTTTCCTTCCTTCCTTCCTTCCTTCCTTCCTTCCTTCCTTCCTTCCTTCCTTCCAGCAATTATGACAATTAGTAATTCTGCATTCATCTGCGTATTAACTTGTTTAATATCTGACTCTACTATGAGTTATTAACCCTATTAGGGTGGACGTAAGGGTTGTGTTGTTTGCTTCTGTATTCTTGGCATATGGGACAGTGACCAGTGTCAGAATGAATGCACAGTGGATGTATGGAAGGTGGCGATCATTGAATCTACAGAACAGATGAGCAAAAAGGAATGCCGAGGGCAAACTGAATAATCTTATTCATTTGACCCTGTTTGGCATACTCTCATTTTTCTATCAACAAATCTGTATTGGATACCTATTATGTTTGAATCTAGGTATCTTTGATTCAAGACTTCACAGGTTAGTAAATGTCATGCAGTAAATGTGAATTATATTCTGTAGGCCTTGAGAAACCACTGAAACGGCTCCTTCATTGAGTGTAGTTATATGATATGGTTATATCTATATTTTAGAAGAAACAAAACATTGATATCTGGGTGGTACAGCCATTATTGGACGAATGTTCTAGAAACTTGGACACTATTATACACCAGTATAAATTAGTAGTCTCCAGGTGTGGTGGCTCACACCTGTAATCACAGCACTTTGGGAGGACAAGTCAGGCAGATAGCTTGAGCTCAGGAGTTTGAGACCAGCCTGGGCATCATGGTGAAAACCCATCTCTACAAAAAATACAAAAATTAGCCAGGCGTGATGGTGTGTGCCTGTAGTGCCAGCTACTTAGGAGGCTAAGGTGGGAGGATGGCTTGAACCCAGGAGGCAGATGTTGTAATGAGTCGAGATTATGCCACTGCATTCCAGCTTGGGCAACAGAGCCAGACCCTGTCTCAAAAAAAAAAAAAAAAAAAAAAAAAAAAAAAAAGGTAAATTGGAGATGATACAGAGGTGAATGAAGGCAGTGGCAGTGGAATGACAAGAGAAGAAAGTGGTGAAAGATATTTTAGAAGGTGACTGAATTTGTTTTTCAACCAGATGTGAGAAGTAATAGGAAGAAGAATGACAAAAATTACTGATTTCTTATGTGGGTGACTGAATAGTGTGTGTAGTCATTCACTGAGCAATGGCCATAAAATATGGATTTGGGCTCATTTACCTTATTTATTAAAATAGGAGGTTTGGCTCATTTAAGAACATATGCCAAGATTGTATCTTCACATCTAATTGAACTCATGTTTTTGACTAAAATTACCAGTCATAGATTCTGTAACTCATTGGTGAAAGCAATAAAGTTTGCTTAACTAGAAAACAGAAAGCAAGGGCTACAGCACTTGTAAAAGCTCCCTAAGATGTTTAAGATACTTACTGGCCTTCTTTCAGGCAAAACTACCGAAGGTTTATTTTTATATATTAAATTACTAAACGTCCTTTCTCTTACTGTGATACTTTGCTGTTGAATAAGATTTTTCCAGCAAATATGGCTTTATTAATTGGTGTTATGGTAACTGCGAACCTTTTTCCATAAGGGGTAACCTGGAAAATAAAGATAGCTATGCACTAATGCCCATCCATTTATAACTTCTGAGGGACCTTGCTCTCACACCCCACCCCACCCCACCCACCTTTTTTTTTTTTTTTTTTTTTTTTTTTTTTGACAGTCTCACTGTGTTGCCAGGATGGAGTGCTGTGGCGTGATCTCAGCTCCTCTGACTCCCAGGTTCAAGCTATTCTCCTGCCTCGGCCTCCTGAGTAGCTGGGATTACAGGCATGTGCCACCACACCTAGCTAATTTTTTTTGTATTTTTAGTAGAGATGGGGTTTCACCATGTTGGCCAGGATGGTCTTGATCTCTGACCTGGCGATCTGCCCATCTCGGCCTCCCAAAGTGTTGGGATTACAGGCGTGAGCCACCGTGCCCGGCCTAACCATTTTTTAAAAAATATAATCTGTTCATCCTCCCCTTTCTAATGTCTCTGTCTTTAAGCACACACATTTCCCTTATTTTAAGAAGAAATACTTTTTAGATCACTGCTGACACTTCCTCTCAGTGTCAAGTCCAAGAATTCTGTATTTCACCAGTAAAGAAATGCTCTGGGCATCTGGGGGTAATCTAAACGTAAAAATATGTTGCATTGATTTCTAGGATATATTATATTCCAAAGAAAGTTGCTTGCCTTGACATATAGTATTGATAATGTTTAATTTCTAAATAAAATTGTTTTCAGACAGATTTTATGAAAAATAAAAAAACTATACCAATCCAAAAGAAAACAAAAAGTAAGTCATTTCAACACATATATGTGGGTGTGCACTCATTTTAGATGGAACTGAAGGAAGAAAATTGATTGGATCATTTTGCCATCATCACCAGTGATAAGTAGCAAATTGATAGTGCTTCTCAGTAGGAGGTTTTTGAAATAAGCAAGTTGAAGCTTAACTCTGGTCTTAAAAAGGGAAGGAGAGGAGAGATTCAAGTCCTGAAAGTTCTAATCAGGAAAGAAGAATCAGAAAGGAAGTCAGGTGTAGGCGGTGATATGATTTCGCTGTGTCCCCACCCAAATCTCATTTTGAATTTTAACTCTCACAATTTCCACTTGTTGTGGGAGGGACCCTGTGGAAAGTAGTTGAATCATGGGGTGGGTCTTTCCCGCATTATTCTTTTGATCATAATAACTATCACAAGATCTGATGGTTTTAGAAAGGAGAGTTTCCCTGCACAAGCTCTCTTCTCTTGCCTGCCACCATGTGAGATGTGCCTTTCACCTTCTGCCATGATTGCAAAGCCTCCCCAGCCACGTGGAACTGTGAGTCCATTAAAGTTCTTACTTCTGTAAATTGCCCAGTCTCTGGTATGACTTTATCAGCAGCATGAAAATCACCAATACAGCGGCAAACAGAGACCAGAACTCAGGAGATCAAAGCCTCACCCAGACAGTTGAGCACCACACCTGGGATAACCTCTTCCATGTTTTATGTTCACACAGCCAGGAGTGCATGAGAAGAGAAGCACTACAATCTAGAGATTTTCACAATTTAAAGGAGATCTTACATCTTTTGTGGGCAGGAAAAAAGGAAAACAGAAACAAGCAAAGGTACAGAAATGAAACTAATCAGAGGCTACAAAAAGTCAGTTTGATTAATACGCCAGGTGGGTTTTGGGAAGTGTTAAGAAAAAGTGATTGAAAGTGTGCTGATCCTTGAAAGCTAAGCAGAGAATTTGCGATCTCATCTAGAAAGGAATTGGGAACAATTAAAGATTTCTGAATGGAGATATTACAGAATGAAAGTGCAAGCAATGTCATTACAAAAAATAAACACTGTTTGGTTTTGAAGCTTTCTCAGAGAGGAGATTCCCAGAGAATGAATTCCAGATGGGAAAACAAAATGCATCATGAGAAAACAATGTAATCAGAAGTAAATAGGAAATGGAGAAGGCCCAATCCACTGAATTCTGTATTGCTGAAGTTCATATAGCCACCAAGAGATGAGAAAAGTTGCTGTTTTTACATTTTGAAATAAGAAATAGAGCCATAGCAGTGAAAAATAAATGAGATATGTATATTCATGACCATAATAATGAAGAGATGGCTGCAATCTCATGGAAATCACTGTACTATTTTCCCAACACCTATATTTTTACTGAAGCCGGCCTCTGAACCTGAATTTAGAAAACTTAAGTTCTAATTTCCATTTAGTTGTCAACTCTCTTGATCAAGTGACATATTCATGTGGAATCTCAGTTTCTCCATTTGTAAAGCAGGAGAAATGAACATCATCCTTGGGATCTCTTTTATAGCTGACATTTCTGGATTCTATAATGTCATGAAATGTTTGTGAGAGAACAGAATTTTAAAAGTGAGCTTATTCCTTACTATCAAAAAAGTGCTTACTTAATTATCACTTGCTTATGTAAAGAAATTAAACTTATTTAAGGAACATTATAAAACAAACCCCTAAATGCTGATATGGATTCATAGCAGAACAATGAAAAATAATTCTTTTTGCCCCTTTACCTTTTTCTAGGTTTGAAGCAGTTACTGTGACGTAGATAAATCATCAAAGTAATAGATAATGACACTGCATTCCTTTGTCAAAAAAGCCTAGGACACGCTGCCAACTCTGCTCATTTGAACATATCTGGATTTCAAGAAATTGTCACCCATTTACTGCTACCTTCATAACACAAGTGGATCACTGTCTGCTTATGTCATCGCATTTGTTCTTTTTCATGAAAAATTGATATTCAAAGCTGTCTAAATCACTGACTCGAAATGTTCATATTAAGAAACTTTTAAAAATGATGCATCCTTAAGGGAATTTGGCATCATGATTACTTTATTTGATCACATTTTACAATTCTGAGTTATTGAACTGTGGGGTGGATTAGAAATAACCACGAGGCAGTGCCCTGTGACCTGTATATAGGAAGCAGTTCTGAAAAATTACATATATACGTGTTATAACACAAATGTTTAGTACTATTTAAAATATGTCTGTATTCATTTTAATAATGTTTCTTATACTGTGTAGACCTATAATTTCAAATGCGCTAAGAACAGGAAAGGTTGGAAGATCAAGATTTTAGAAAGAACTGATATTTAGAATTAGAGGACCTACCTTTGCATTTTGGTCTACTTCTCATTCATATGCATTCTTGGGTACATTTATTAACATCTTGGAACCTCAGTTTTCGATTTGGTGAAACAATAACTCAATCAAAGTTAATAAAGTCTTACTACCAATAGGAAGCCCGTGTGTATATATTGAATTTGGGAAGTGTGTGACTGGCGCAGATAATAAACATCTTTTGCTTAATGAGACTTGAGAGTCTAGAAAAGATATGAAAAGATACCTACCATATACTATCAAGTGCTATACTAGAGATGTCAATGCCGCAAGAAAGTGATATGGGTACTTATAGTAGTACAACTAATTTTGCCCAGAAGATAATGTTATCAAGCATACCACTATGCTAATGGAGAGTTCAATGAAATGACACAAAATTCTTTTTAAATTGGAAAGTCATAGGCCAGTATTAGTTGCTTTTACTAACATAGCTTAATAAACAAATTAGAGTTAACCACTTGATTTTTTTTCATGTTTTTATCATAAATTCATCTTAGTTAAAACAAGAGACACTATAAGGTATGTGCAAAAATACAATTTTGTAGGTAGTCAAAATTACTTATTTTTTGCAGGCATTCATGTAAACCAACGGAGTAGATCAAAATATTATTTTTTCCTATTTTTGTTTCTATTTTCATAGAAAATCAATTTAGATTCTAGAATATCATATTATTTAACTCAAAAAGAGTGCATGTCAACTAATGAAGCCTAGAAAATTCCTTCAGTCATCCACTTTCGTTTCATATTCATAAACTTATTGAAAATCCTTACAAAGTATATTCTATTTTAGAAAATGGACAACGATATGGCAAATAAACATATGTTATTGAAGCAAGGCAGTCACTGTAGACCCCACAGGACAAGAGTTTCTTCTCCAGTAACTGCAGGAACATCTATAGTACAGTGTCCTATAAATAGCACTGTATCATTTGAATGTGTCAATAAATCAGTTTACAAATTCATTCTGCACACTGTTACATTTTCTTGATGCACTTTCTGACTCTGTGTTGCAAGCTAACCTAGAGAGGTTTGAATTATTTGTTTGCTATTAGTTCATCACTTGACATTTCACATTTCTTATTATTCAGAACATAAGAATATGCACACTGATACATTTTTCTAAGTTCCACTTATTGGGTAGTGTTATTTGAAACATAATATGAAAATGCACTTGACAAGTTATCCTGGAGGTGACATAGCAGTTTGCAAAGAGAAGTATAAACATCATTTATTCATGGCAGAGCAATGTTCCCTTTTTGATTTGAGTTTTCTAATATCTTCAAATGCCACTGTATACCAATAACAATTTATTTTTCAGTGGCACAATTGGTGATGTGGAAAATATTTTTCTTGGATTTAAAAGAGCACATATATTCACACATACACTTTTGAGTCCGTCCCTGTTCAGAATATAATTTCCTATAGATTGCAGACATTCTCTACTGTGTCTGATTCATCTCTGAGTTTTTATGCCCAGCAAAGTAACCGACAACACCAATGCTAGATATATATTTTTGAATGAATAAACATGTGTCTTTTAGGATTGGAGCTTATAGGTTTACAGGCACAAATTCCAATTACATCCTCAACTAGTATATACCCTACAAATTCTAAAATCAATCCCATTGCAGGAGAGTATCACCCTAAAATACCACCAAAGACTGTATTCTGGCACTTACTCTTATAAATTGGGCTAATAATCCATATACAATGGAGGCAAAAATGTCTTTAAAAAATTTGAAGCAGGTTTTCTCCTGGACTTGAAGCAAATTTAATGTGAGCAGCCGTATTTTCTTTTATTAAGAATAATCCTTTACTTTGAGATGATTAGACTAAATGCTAAGGAAGAAACAGGAAAATAGTTTTGAGAATACGGTGTGTGGTTTCCGGAAAACTGCACTTCTTAGAAACAGATCACCTAAAAAGTATTTATTTCCATCCAAAACTACAGGGAAAGAATAAATAGCCTCTCTTTCCTAACCCCTGACAACACCTGCTACATTTTTTACCCAAGAATTCTGAAAAAACTGTAGAGATACCATTCGACTCTAAGGCACAGCAATGGAACTATCACACAGAGAGGTCACAGTCAAGGTCAGTATTATTATTGCAGCCAGGTTCAGTTAAAAAGAGAGAGAGAGAGAGAGAGAGAGACAGAGAGAGAGAGAGAGAGACTCTAACAACCTACATGACTTAATTTTATTTCTCATTGGATAAAAGCTGAAGCAGGGTGTGTACAGGTTCAATGGTAGTCAGCTGACACATGTTTTTGTTCTATTTCCAGGGATAACAAAAATTACAATAAAAAATGAATCAAAATATACTTAACGGACATGATTTTTTCTCCTTGGAGGGGAAAATGTTCTACCTTATGTTGCTTCTTTTACTGTTTATAGCAGGCTTAACTATACATGCTACCTATCAATTTGTCTCAGAGTTTCAACCATTTTCTTTACGAGTTTGACTCCTACTAGAATTAAAATGTCTCTGGAAGAAATAGCATTTGAGTATACCTTCTGAGAATGAAGAGTCTGAATGCAACTTTCATGGGTGGTTGCCTTAAGGGAATCAAAAGAGAATATTAAGATATGAGGCATTAAACTTCAGGGGGAATAAAACTTGTGTCTTATTGAAAGCAGGAAAGCCAATGTTGCTATACCACTAGCTTGCCTTAGGCCAGATCTGCCTGCTAAGAATGTATCTACATGTCCACAAAAGAATAAAAAATAGATGTAGAAATAGCTGGGATTTTTCTAACATAATACCTATAAATTATGGTTAAGCTTCTATTTTCGTATAGGTTGAATCTTCATATAGTAAGATTTCAAATATTCAAGTCTGCATGGAATTTTATCCTATGTTACCACAAGCACAACCTCTCAGTATTACAGAGAATTCTGAAAGTAACACCATATGGCAAACAGACAGCTGAGAAAAATACAAGAGAACTGGTAAATAAATGTTCTAAAAGATGGAAACCTCTGATGATAAACACAGGTGAAAATGGTTTGAATACCAAGACAATGTTTTCCAGGATAATTTAAAAATAAATCTATTTTTACTTATATAACTTCTAAGGAATTTGTATTGCTTTGGTAACGTACATGAGATAAAATTCAACATGATTTTATCTAACTTGCATACAATTGAGTATAGAATATTGAAAGTCAAATCATTCCAATATTTCTGTATAACAGTTCTTTTCTTATTGACTCACATGTTAATATCATCTAAACTTTCATACACAGTTGGTTAAATTCTATAATGCAACATAAATAGGTCATCATGGAAAACACAGAAGCAAGTTCAGATATTGACCATTCTTACATTTTTTTTTTAATTACATGGAATTTGCAAAAACATAAAAGATCAATAATATGTTTCTTAAATAAATGGTAGCATGGATAATGTGTAAGGAAACCTCACCTGGTCTATTTTTTTTCCTGAGTTATTATTTGACTGAAAAAAATAAATCAGTGTTTGCAATGGAAAACTTGACACAATAAATACAATTAGAATTTTCATGTATTTATTAAAGTGTAAATAATCTTAGATTGCATAACAATGCCCTAAATATTTTAGTAAATGACAGTAGAATTTATTTAGATTTAACTGACCAAGATGAAATCACAGGATGAAGCTTTGGTCAGAAAATCCTGCACAACTTGAATCCATAAAAGTCAGGCTCTATGAACTCTGCCTCAACCCTTGGCTCTAAAGAAACAAGTCCAGTGAGATTCACTCACTTTCCATTTACTCTGTAATTATTATTAAGGTTCAACCTTTAACATCCAGATTTACTTGAGATTTATGAATCACTTAAACCAATTTTTGGCTAATTGGGAATTTGGTGCTAGAATAACTGGCTAGCCATATGCTGAAAACTGAAACTGGACCCCTTCCTTACACCTCATACAAAAATTAACTCAAGATGGATTAAAGACTTTCATGTAAAACCCCAAACTATAAAAACTCTGGAAGAAAATCTAGACATTACCATTCAGGTTATAGGCATGGGCAAAGACTTTATGTCTGTAACACCAAAAGCAATGGCAACAAAAGCCAAAATTGATAAATAGGATCTAATTAAACTAAAGAGCTTCTGCACAGCAAAAGAAACTAGCATCAGAGTGAATCAGCAACCTATAGAATGGGAGAAAATTTTTGCAATCTACCCATCTGACAAAGGTCTAATATCCAGAATCTACAAGAAACTTAAACAAATTAAAAGCAAAAAACAACCCCGTCAAGTGGGCAAAGGATATGAACAGAGACTTCTCAAAATAAGACATTTATGCGGCCAAGAAACATAGGAAAAAAAGCTTATCATCACTGATCATTAGAGAAATGCAAATCAAAACCACAATGAGATGCCACCTCATGCCAGTCAGAATGGCAATTATTAAAAAGTCAGGTAACAATAGATGCTGGCAAGGCTGTGGAAAAATAGGAATGCATTTACACCGTTGGTGGGAGTGTAAATTAGTTCAATCACTGTGGAAGACAGTGTGGCAATTCCTCAAGGATCTAGAATCAGAAATACCATTTGACCCAGCAATCCCATTACTGGGTACGTACCCAAAGGATGATAAATCATTCTACCATAAAGACACATGCACACGTATGTTTATTGCAGCACTATTTACAATAACAAAGACCTGGAACCAACAGAAATGCCCATCAACGATAGACTGCATAAAGAAAAGGTGGCACATATACACCATGGAATATTATGCAGGCCTAAAAAAGAATGAGCTCATGTCCTTTGAAGAGACATGGATGAAGCTGGAAGCCGTCATTCTCAGCAAACTAACACAAGAACCGAAAACCAAACACTGCATGTTGTCACTCATAAGTGGGAGGTGAACAATGAGAACACAAGGACACAGCGAGGGGAACAACATACACCAAGGCCTGTCGGGGGTTGGGGGCAAGGAGAGGGAGAGCATTAGGAGAAATACCTAACGCATGTGGGGCTTAAAACCTACATGACGGATTGATGGGTGCAGCAAACCACCATGGCACATGTATAACTGTGTAACAAACCTGCACATTCTGCACATGTATCCCAGAACTTAGAGTAAAATTTAAAAATAAAAAAAAGAGGAATTAGAGAGCATGATAAAATGTAAGATTTAGTAGCCTCTTTAAAATTAGAAACATAAATGTATACCCATGTTATACTTGGGAAAAACTTAGGAATCACTTAGTCAAGAACTTTAATTCCTGTAAGGAAAGGAAGACCCAGAAATGTGCCAGACTCAGTCAGTGGGTGTGTATGTGTGTTTAGTTCCCACTCCAATTTAGCAGGTAACATTCTAACAGTCTAACAATATGTAAATAACTTACAATGTGCTCTTTATAGTGATATGTAATTATATGCTATTCTCACGTAAGGATGTTAGGTTGGCAAAAAGGTAAAAATACTTTAATTAAATTTGTATGCTCAAATTTGTATGCTCAAATGTGTATGCTCAAATTTGTATACTCAAATTTGTATGCTCGAATTTGAGCATTTGTAAATGTTCAAAAGTTATCCTGATTATCTTTAAATTTATTAATATATCTGCACAATAAAACTAATTTTCCCATGCTATTAAGACTCTTTGAGACAGTGCCACATGTATAACCCAAACACCATTTTATTATTATAAATTATTGTTGGATTTACTTCCAAGATAACACTTGTAAACATTTAATTATCCTCTTATTAGAAAACATGTTCTTTGGAATATAAAATTGAATGAATGAGTAAAAGTAGTGAATCATATCGCCTGTTAATGCCTATCAGCATTATTTTTATATCTCAGGAAGCTGGACTAAGCAATTAATTACTACATAAACACTTAACTTTTCATGGAAAAAGTAGTAAAATTTTTGCTATTTAATTTCTCCAGTTATATATTTAGTAAGCCATATAGTTAAGTAAATTTCATAAGGCAAAAAGAGAAAAGATACAATCACTATATACATTTCTGGCCATGCCACCTCTCAAAAGTCAGCAGAAAAATGAACTAAATATTAAGTTCAATGAGACACTACTGAGGTCAATTTAAAGACTGTGGCATATTATAGCACTGACGACAAAAGAAAAGAAAATCCTCGGCAAATGCTTCTAGGTAGGCAATAGCAACCTGCTCAAGAAGCCCACCAGTATCCACACAGCATCTGATCTTTATTAAAGGACTAGTGAGTGTTCCGCCACATCCAACAGCAAGGGCTGAGGATGAATCATGGGATCAAAATCATGAGTCAAGTTCATCTCTTTTCCCTGGAGGTGGGAAAAACAAATGGCACACTCATGTAGTTAAATTTTAAAAATTAATGATTGTAAGACGAGTAGCTGAGCATACAGAGCAGAGAGGAGAGATTATCAAGATGTCCGAGATCATTCAATCTCTAATTCCAAGGGAGGAGGGTGAGGTAGGGGTGGAAAGAGAAGAGAAGCAGATTCTCAAACTCTCAAATAGGAGAACAAAATGGAATCTGTATGATCAAGCAATATCAGCATAGGAACATCAGGATGTGGTAAGAATATGAGTTGATGTTGAGATAATTTGGCTTGTTTGGGCCAGGATTTGATTGTTCAGATGTTGGCAGAGCAATCCTTTGCTCTATGCTACTAGATGAATTCTGGTGTTAGCTAATTTATGAGGATAACCACTTGTACATTCCAGGACCTCACAGATCTGGGAGTCTATGTGAGAAAATATAAAAGGAAACCCATGGCTCATCTTTAAACATGAAGAAACTGTGCCTTTCATCACCACTACTAGGTTATCTTTGAAAACATGCCATAGCATTGGTCCAGGTGAGATACTGAGAAGATAACAAGGGACAGAAAAAGTTCTAACCCCAAGGCTCTTCTGCCAGTGGTAGGAGAAGACATGTAAACAGATCCTCCAAATATTGAGGTGGTAATACTACAACCCCTGAAATCCATCTTCTATATTTAAATTTCTACCACAATTAAATTTGTTTAAACTTAGTATTTCTTTTTAATTTTTCATTCACATTTTCCTCTATAGCTTCACTCATTCAGGGTTTTATCATCTCTTTTCTGAACTACTTTAGTTGATGTCTAATAGTAAAGACAAATTTGTAAAACATAGTGACATTTAATTTGCATGGATAGTCATTTTTTGGCTGCCTAAGACAGCTTGGCTTTGTTTTCCTTGGTCTGTACTGCAGAAGATGCTGAATATCATTGACTCTGATGATTAACAAAAAGATAAAACATACACACAAGTTTAAATTATCATAAGATAATCTAGTAGTTAAGAATAAAGGCTTAGATGTCACTTGTCCATGAGATTGAGTCCTAGCTTTGCCACTTGCCAGTTATGTAATCTTTGGCAATTTGTTTCACTTTCTTTACGTTCACTAGCAAAGTGTAGGTAATAAAAGTGTTTACTTTAGAAAACTGCTGTTAGGTTTAGTAAAGATACACATACACATATATGTATAGATACAAATATATACATATACATATAGATACATACACATATATGTATAGATACATATTTAGTAAAGATACACATACGCATACATGTATCCATGTACATGTATACCTATGTATATATGTATATGTTATATATGTGTGTGATTTTAGATAAATAGGTAGATAGAGCAATTGCAAAGAGAAAGAAGGAAGGAAAACTTTCATAATACCTGACACATGGTATGCCCTCGCTACACAATAACTTTAGCAAGAGAGTTTTGTAAAAATTAGAGGAGCTTTAATAGCTTTCCAAAAACTTACGGCAATTTGTAGTCAAATGGTTGAATTGCAGACTTGTTGTATAAATGCTTACAGTATAAAGACTACAAGCCAGAGGCAGATCCATTCAAGAACCAATTAAATCACAAACTGATTGTATCTTAGAAGTCATTTAGTCTGCTACCCAATTTGAATAGAAATTCCATAGTGTTCTTAATAGATAGCCATTTAATCTCTGTTTGACCACAAAGTTTATTTATTTTAAGAACTCCTTGTTGAAAAGCTTCATTAAAAATGTTTCCATCATATTATAAATGTTTTCCATTACATTGAGTTAAAATCTTCAAAAACGTATTAAGTCTAAACTACTGAAAGAAAAATGGTGGCATAGGATTTTTAAAAATTATAAACTAGTGAACTTTCAACTTTGTCTATCATCATTCTTTTAATTGCCTTTTTGTTCAGCGAGAAGAGCTGAGGTTTGAAGTGAACAAAATAGGCTTTGAATCCCCAGCAAAGATCCTTAAAAACCATATAGATTTGGGGCCGGGCGCGGTGGGTCACGCCTGTAATCCCAGCACTTTGGGAGGCCAAGGAGGGCGGATCATGAGGTCAGGAGATCCAGACCATCCTGGCTAACACGGTGAAACCCCGTCTCTAACAAAAATACAAAAAATTAGCTGGGCGTGGTGGCTGGCGCCTGTAGTCCCAGTTACTCCGGAGGCTGAGGCGGGAGAATGGCGTGAACCCGGGAAGCAGAGCTTGCAGTGAGCTGAGATTCGACCACTGTACTCCAGCCTGGGTGACAGAGCAAGACGCCTTCTCAAAAAAAAAAAAAAAAAAAAGAAAAGAAAAGAAAAGAAAACACCACATAGATCTGGACAAACTACTTTACTCTCTGGGCTTTAATATTCTCATCTCTGAAATCAGGTTGATCATTTCCTGATTCAAAAAGTAAATAAAAATTTTTAAAAAAAGGAGAAAAGACGGAAAACTAGTATATTTTGTACATTGTGTTCATTAAGCCTATAGCAGGCAGTTTCATCCCGTGAATAATTTAATATTCAATCATATTGGATAGATATTATAAAATACATTTTTAAAGTTGAAAAAATTTCATCAATGTTCAATCAATGCTCTAAATTTAAAAAACTAAGAAATATTCAGTCCATAATTATCTTAAACCATTATAGGGGATCTATATGTAAGGACTTGCCTGGGAGAAATTTTTAGGAATCCGTATTTGTTTAAATTACTTTGTAATTCAGAGCTCACACTTACATAACACACATAGTACATTTAAAAATGCCCTAACTAATGTTTTAAGTACCATAAATAGAGTTTAATGGGTTACTTTGATCTTTGCCTTTCATTTCTGTTTAAACGTATAAAATAATGCTTTAACATATATTGATGTTTGCACTGAACATTTAGAAAAATTGTATGATGATGATTAAGGAGTGGTATGCATTTTTCACTATAAAACAGACAAAATCATTCTGACAGACATTTTTCCTCCTTAAGAATAAAAGCAATTATTCACTGAAAAGAAAACAAAATCAACTTATTTCAAATTCTTTCCGTAGTAAAGCACATGTACACAGAGATAGGATGTAATGGAGCCACTGCTGTTCCAGGTAAGAAGACTAAATTCTACGCCATATCCTTAATCTCTCTTAGGTCCTTTTTTATTTTTTCTCTGAAAAGTGATGATCAAAATGTCTGCCTTGTGCCCCTTGCAAGTATTTTGTAGGTATAAGGTCAGATAATGTATGTGAAAATTTATTAGATATTAGGAAAATCTATTATAAGTACAAAAGATTATTATCAGATAGCCATGCACATAAAGTAGTCATTTAATAGGTTTTCTTAAAAGTTTAACACATTCAAAAATGTAAGTAACGAGCATACTAGGTAGTAAGCCAGTTTCCAGAGCTACATAGATGGATTAAACATATTCCTTAAGAATTCAGGGACTCCGTATCAAGAGCTTTATACTCTTTGATTCAATAAATTCAATTCTGGGGATTATTTTCTACAGAAATATCCCCAAATATGGAAAAAAGATAATAGGAAAAAACTTCTTTGTTGCTAGGTTACCTATAATAGCAAAAACATCTGGGATAATTCAAATATCCAACTATAAGCATAAAACTAAATCACAGAATTTTATCATTGAAATATCAGAACCATTCAAATGATTATTTAAAAGGATATGATTGGCAAATGCTTTTGATCTAATGGTAAGTAGGCATAATCAGGATGGAAGTTTGTGAGTTAACTGTAATTACCAGTAGGTAAAATTTTATAATACAAGCATTTTCATAGGGGGAAGATACTAAAAGTAAATGTGCAAAATTATTCATCATTGTCATATTTGATTGGTAAAATTGCATTAAAAAACTCAAAGGGAGAGACTCATTTTCATATTTTCCAATTTTTGATGGATCTATTATTGTTATAACTTTTACATGATAATATAATCTTGTGAGACTAAGGACTGACCTTAGTCACAAACAATATTACTGCCAAATACATGTTTAACTCAAATATTTATAATTTTCTCCTGATCTTGTTTGCCACAAAAAATGAAAACATATGTCAAAAATGTCCTCAATTATTTCATTTAAAATATATAAATCATGCTTTAATTAATATCACTCTGGGCAAGCAAATAGAAACAAAATACTTTTCTTATTTCCACACATTATGTTACTGATGTTCATTGAAACTGTCTTTAACGTCTTTTAAGAAGTTAACTTTTATGACCAACACATTTTGTCAAAACCATAGCCTAAGTGGATAAAGGATTAACCTTGTGCAACAATGAATTAACAAGATCTAAAAAAGATAAAATGAATCACTAAATGATTATAGTTAACAAAAAGTTCCACTCTACTCCCTTTTGGAGAACGATGGAACACTCTTTTATTGAACCCCATTATCCTAATGAGAAGATAGTCTACCCTTGATCACAGCCAAAAGGCTAGAGAAGATATTGTAATGACTTACTGCCAGTGCTTAATGAAGAGATTTCACCATTATTGAAAGCACATCTGTTTGATTAACGAGTCTCTTCCAAGATACATGCACCCTTTCTATTTAGTGGGTGGCAGAAGGCATAGACTGCACATATGCCATAGTTTCTCTTCTTTTGTGAAGGGAAACCTTATCTACCAATGGCAAATGTTACCCTTAACAGACCTCTTTTTTTTTTTTTTTTTCAGATGGAGTCTTGCTCTGTCGCCAGGCTGGAGTACAGTGGCACAATCTCAGTTTACTGCAATCTCCACCTCCAGGGTCAAGCGATTCTCCTGTCTCAGCCTCCTGAGTAGCTGGGATTACAGGTGTGCACCACCACGCTTGGCTAATTTTTGCATTTTTAGTAGAGACGGGGTTTCATCATGTTGGCCAGGATGGTCTCGATCTCCTGGCCTCCTGATACACCCACCTTGGCCTCCCAAAGTGCTGGGATTACCGCGCCCAGCCGCCTTAACAGACTTTTAAGATGGCAAAGTCAGTATACCTTTGTTTATATCTTGTCTTTGTTTATATCTTGGTTCAATCACCCACTGACTTTGTGATCCTCTGCAAGTCATTTAACTTACCTTTGCCTTAGACTTCTTTTCTTCAATAAAAGATAATGATACCAAACTTATAGGGTTATCGTGAGGATCAAATGAGATAATAAATTTAAAGCTCTAGGAGCAATACCTAGCACAATTAGGACTAATTCTGGGTGCCTAGCATTAGATGTTTGTAAATAAAGTGAAAAAACTTAAATCCATTTTGGTCCTTAATAATGTTATTGGGTGTAAAATTTAGTAATGGATTGGTGGTGGTTGTTGTTGTTTTCTAAAACCATGATGGGATGATTCTATTAATATTGTTATGGTTTGCAAAGAATTATCCTCAGTTACTCTGCCTTTCAAAGCCCTAGAGCACACAACCTTGAAATCTTGAAATTCCAAAGTTGTTCTGAAAGAAAAAGGATTGGATTAGGGAGTTGAATATTCACCACTTGATTGTTTTAAAAAGCCAATCTTTTTAGCTTACATAATGCAAATATTCTACTTAGAGGATATATTTTATTCTATTGTCTTTATCACTCAAATCTGAAGGTAGAGAAAGTAGGAATAACAGGGCTTAACTTAAGCTTTGTGTTTTTTTTGTGGAAAATCATACTTGTAGAAGGCCACTTGATATCAAATCCAGTTCTATTGCACCCACTCACACAGCTGTGTTCCTCTAGAAACATTTACCACCACTGAATTTGAAAATATTCACCCATTTTATTTAATTGGTGTGACATGCAAGATAGTTCCAACATTGGAGGTCTTGGTAAACTATTAAACAGAGGGAGAAAGTTACTGGCAGCTTAAGAGTTTTGACTTAACAACTCCATTTTCAAGCAATGCAGACATTGAGAGAAGCAATTTGCTCCTTGAAATGTTGGCATCGTAAAGACTCTAGCACAATGCTAATTATATAATAACTACTTGGCAAATACTTGCTAATTAAATGGAAGAAGCAGAAGTGAGTGAGCCAGAATCAGATCTTTCTACCAATTTTAAATAATCACAGAATAATCAGCATAAGAATAGAAACCTTTGAAATCATCCCAGTAAATAAGGCTTAATTTTGATGGTAGCTTCTATACATCTAATGTAAGTTTAATCATTTGATATTTAACCAGGTTGTTCATTTTCTCATTAAATGTTATTTAAATCTAAATGCTTTTTTTTTTTTTTTTTTTTTTTTGAGACAGAGTGTCACTTTGTCACCCAGGCTGGAGTGCAATAGTGCGATCTCTGTTCACTGCAACCTCTTCCCCCCAGGTTCCAGCGATTCTCCTGCCTCAGCCTCCCAATTAGCTGGGATTACAGGGACGTGCAACCACATCTGGCTATTTTTTGTATTTTTTAGTAGCGACAGAGTTTCACCATGTTGGCAAGGCTGGTCTCAAACTCCTTACCTCAAGTGATCTGCCCGCTTCAGCCTCCCAAAGTGCTGGGAGCCATTACAGGCATGAGCCACCACTCCTGGCCTAAAGTTAAATGCATTTTTGAATGAGAAAACTACTCAGCTAAATAAGAAATTTTTTTCCTGGACTTTCTCTCTAATTTAAGCAATAAACAGTTATGATTACTACCACAAGTGAATATGGAGGTAACATTTCCCAGGCTGTTTCTGTTTCTGCCATGACAGAGGGTTTGGCTGTCTTGGATGCTGTTCCCTATTGTATGGTGTTTGAAATTGTCAGGTCTACTGCAAGGGCATTATTCTTGGTGCTACTAATTGAGGGATGTGTATTGTCATATTACAATATTATTTGTGTAACTTTACTCAGACACTTGTACTGTGCATGGTTATGATTTTCAGGCAAGTACTTAAGACACATTAAAAAAAAAAAAGTCACTGCATAGGCAGGAGTGCATAGAAGAGTGAATTACTCTAGAGCTTCCAAAAAATGTCTTTACACAATAAGTGACTATTTAGCTAAACACAAATGATGTACATCCATAATTTGGTCGAATCACTAGTTTGTAATAAGATGCATTCAAAGACAAATTCCAGGGATGAAAAATATCCCTGACAAATAACTCCATGGTGTCAACCTCAGGAAAAAAGGCATCTATAACTTATGCTAATTAGGTCCACTGATGGTTTAACTTTAAGGGACACAAACACACCACCTTTTCAAGTCCCTTGTCATAGAATACCTGTTTGTACCTCCTATGGACTCTGACATGTGTTCTCCATAATAATAAGAAAAAGGAAATTTTAATTCTACAACACAAGCATTGTTTTTTTACTAATCAATTTCACTATGTCAGAGTGGATAGCATACTGATTGATGTATCAAACTTAATACTGGATTTCACATTCCAGAAAAGAAATAGCATGAAATACCTATCAGGGTTTCGATGCAGACATCTAAAATAAAATTAAAAAAAAAGATTTCACTATTTTTAGCCAAATATTTTTCTGAAAAAAATCTAATTTCTAATGAGTTCTATACTTTTTTTAAAAAAATGAAGGCTATTCAACCTTTAGAATTTTAGTCTTCTTTATGGAATCTATGAGAATATGAGAAATAGCTTTAAAATATTTGTACATATGCCTATATCAACTGTGAGTACCAAAAATCAATGTGCCTAAAAATGACACACAATTTTCAACTAAATACTAGCTCGTTTCCCGAATATATCTATTACAGTACTAATCGTTTAAACTGTGTATATCAGTCATCTTTGACATTTTTTCTCCAGTCTTTACATCTAGTAAATCATTGATTTTTTACTCTTCTCTCATTACCTACTTAAATCTTCTTCATTCCCTCTGAAATCAATTCATACTTATCCTATTGTACAGCCTTCTGATTTCTCTCTCTGCTGCTAATCTTCCGCTCTTCAGTCCGTTCTAAGGACAACCCCATGCTAATCTCTCAAAAGAGTTGACTTAAAATTATCACCTCATACATAAACTTTACAGTTGTTCATTATTACACTCTGGACTGGCATTGAAGACCCCAATTTATATTTTTTACCCTTACCATTTTTATAAGTTTTCTATATGATCCTTATGATCCGATTAATCTTGCCTATTCTTCCGTGAGTTCTGAAGGCTAAAGGTGAACATACTGGTGGTCAGTGGTTGGCAGTGGAATGTGAAAAGTACTCCTAAAGAAGACTTTAAGTATGATGGAAAATTACCCTGGACATCTATCCCCATTATATCCAGCTGATACTTTAGATAAATGTTATTTATTTAGTTTATGAAGAAATAAATAAAATAAACAAAAGACTGCAAAATAAGCAATCAGTAAACCATGAAAGTAAAGGCAGATGGACAAAAATGCCACAAACTGGCTCACTGGAACACTGCCAAAACTAGCTTAAATTTTCTTTTTTTTTTTTTAACACAGTCTAAAAGGAGAAGCAAGAGAATGAAAGCACATAATTATTGTTTTGTTCAGTAAGGAGAGTTTATTATATGGCTTGAAAAACAGCACATCACATCTAACAAAGTTAATCACTTCATGCCTGGATTATTGCTATTGCCTCTTGTTAGGGTTTTTTCCTTCCAATTTTTTATATTTCCTAATTATCCTCTAGCTCCATCCTTCGGTACCCTCTCCATTCCTGCTGCAATCTCATTATAGAATGTATTCTTATTTCCTACTACCATCTGGATCACTTTCATCTCCTTGCCAGCACTTGCGGCCTCATGCAATATTCAAATCTGTGTCTTATATCCTTCATATTAACCTTTTATTTTGGTTGTATGTATATGATTCCTCACCCTCCATGCCCATTCCTAAATCAGCCATGTTGCTCATAATATTTTCCCATCGAAAATTCCCTTCACAGTCTTCACCATAAATTCATATCCTTTGTCTTTTCGGGAACAGCTATTATTCTCTGTGCTCTGGTCTTTCTAACTCCTGTTTGCTTATCTTCTTTGTCAAGCTTATTGCCAATACACTATTATGTATAAATTTCATTCACAATACATTTCTAATAAGCTAACAATTTTACCAGCAAAATTATAAGCTCGTTGTGTCTAGGCACCCATCTTTGCAATTCTCCTGTGGATGATAATATCCAGCACAGCAACAGATGAGCAGTCAAAAATGCCTTGTGGGAGCCAGACAGTGGAGTAGGACTCTCCAGCAAGCATCCCTTCACAGAAACATCAATCTGAACAGCTATCTATGCACAAAAATAACGTCACAAGGGCTAGGATCTTTTTACCACGTGAGAGATCACAGTGCCTCGTTGTAGTACAATAATAAGAAAAGACACATTGAAAGGGTAGGAATCACAGTTTTACAATACCCACATCACCCCTCTCCCAACCCCAGGCAGCACAGTATGGAAAGAGATGCCATCCACTAGATAGAATGAAAGGGATGTGAGCACAGGATTTTTCCTGGACACAACACTGGGTACTCACAGGAAAACTCTGCACCAGCAGACCCCTCATAGCTCCATATTCCGAACCAGTACCAGCAGACTGAGCCTATAGACCCACCAGGACACCAGGTCTCACCAGGTGAGACCACATAGCCTCACACTTTAAGCTTGCTTAGTGAAATTTATCTCTGGCCTACACAACTGCCATATTGACATCAGTGGTCCCAGGCTTTGGGTAGCCCTCAGGAGCAAGCAATTCTCAGAGGCTGTGGGCTTCCAGCCAAACACAACACCTAGCCTGCTGTAGTGGGTTCCAGGCTTTTGGCAGTGTCATGCCAGTCACAGCTGTCCAGGGATTCTGGCATGCCCCAGCATTGTACCAGCTAAAGCAGGACCCAGGATTCTGGCAGTGCTACACTGGTCAACACTGGCTCAGGAGTCTGATGCGCCCCAGAACTATGCCTGCCACAAGGCTTTCCTAGAAAAAGCAAGACTATAAAAATTGGAATAAGCAATGACTTCCCATGCACAGGCTTTGACATAGAAGTACAAAGATCAGAACAATGAGAATCATGACAACACCAAACAGATATTTTAAGGTGCCAGTGACATCATACAGAAATAGCAATACATGAAGTGCCTGAAAATAATATAAAATAACCATTTTAAAGAAGCTCGGAGAACTTCAAAAAATACAGAGAAGTGAACAAAATAAAACAATAATAATAATAAGTAAAAAAATGAGAAATTCATTAGAGGGATTAAATTAAAAAAAAAAACAGAAATCCTGGAGCTGAAAAATACAATGAAAGACAAACAATACAATAGAGAGCATCAAAAGAAAAACTGAACAAGCAGAAAACAATATTTGTGAACTTACAGACAGGTTATTTGAAAATATAAAGTCAGAAGAAAAAAATAAAGAATGACAAGGACTGAAAAAAAGCTTATGAAACTTATGTGACAGCATCAAAAAGGCAAATTTTCATATCACAGGATTTAAATGGTATGTCTATGGGAAACTCACTTTGCCTGTAAAAATACACATAGACTGAAATTGAATAAATAGAAAAATATATTCCATGCAAGTAGAAACCAAAAGAGAATAGAAGTAGCTATATTTATATAAGATTAAATGGACTCCAAGTCAAAAACTGTAAAAAGGTAAAAATAAGTCATTATTTAATAATAAAGGGGTTAATTCAGCAAGAGGATATAACAATTGTAAATACGTATGTACCCATAACTGGAGCACCTAAATATACAAACCAAGTATTAATATACTTAAAAAGAGATATAGACTGCAATAAAACAATAGTAGGAGATTTACAACCCATTTACAGCAATGGACAGATCACCCAGGCAGAAAACAAAGAAACTTACACTTGAACTACATTCTAGATCAAATGTATGTAACAGACATATAAATAACATTCCATCCAACAACTACAGAATAAGCATTATTCTATGCATATTCATTCTCTAAAATAGATCATATGGTAGGCCACAATTCATAAAAAATCAGAATTTTGAAATGATACCAAGTATCTTTTATGACTATAATAATATAAAACTAGAAATCAATAGTTTGATTGAACAGGGGAAACTTCAGAAAATTTACAAATGCATGGAAATTAAAGAACGTGCTTCTGAACAATCAATGAGTCTGTGAAAAAATGTTCATGAAAACTTTAAAAAATTTCTTGAGACCAGTGAAAATGGAAACACAAAATACCAAAACCCCTGGGAGAGCAAAAGCAATTCTAAGAATTACTTTATCCATTCTAAGAAGTTTTATAGCAATAAATGCCTATATCAAAAAAGAAGATCTCAAGTAAATGACCTAACATTGCACCTCAAGAAACTTGAAAAACAAAAACAAACTAAGTCCAAAGTTAGTAGAAAGATGAAAATAATAAGGACCAGGGCAGAAATCAATAAAATAGAGACTAGAAAAGTGATAGAAAAGATCAACAAAACTAAGAGTTGATTTTTTTAGAAAGATAAACAAAATCAACAAATCTTTAGTTAGCCTAAGAAAGGCAGAAAGAGAAAGACTAAGTCAGAAACAAAGAGACGAGACGTTATAACTGATGCAACAGAAATACAAAGGATCATCAAAGACTATTATGAAAAATTATACACCAAAAAATTGGATAACCTAGCTTAACTGGATTAATTCCTTGATATACACCATCTACCAAGAGTGAATTATGAAAAAAAAAAAACAGAAAATCTTAACAGACCAATAACAAGTAAGGAGATTAAATCAGTAATAAAATGTCTACCGTCAAAGAAGAGCCCAGAACCTGATAGCTGTTTGGAAAATTGAATATTCACATGTGAAATGATGAAATTACATCCCCATCTCACACCATATACAAAAATCAACTCAAAATGGATTAAATACTTAAATCTAAGACCCACAACTTTGAGACTACTAGATAAATACATAGAAGAAAGCATTTTTATATTGGTCAGGGCAATAAAACTTTTTAGATATGACATCAAAAGCACAGGCAGCAAAAGTAAAAATATACAAATGGGAACGCATGAAACATAAAAGCTTCTGCAGAGGTAAAGGAACAATAAACAAAACGAAGAGAAAATCTACTGAATGGAAGACACTATTTGCAAACTATATGTCTGATAAAAGGTTAACATTCAAAATACATAAGGTACTCAAACAAGTCAACAGCAACAATAAAATAGCCTGATTTAAAAATGGGCAAAATATCTGAATAGGCATTTCTCAAAAGAAAGCATAGAAATAGCCAACAGGTATATGAAAAAAAATGTTGAACATCACTATTATCAGATAAATGCAAATTAAAACCCAATGAGATATCACCTTATACCTGTTAGAATGGCTATTATCAAAATGAGAAAGTGTAAGTATTGGTGAGGATGTGGAGAAAAAGAACCCATGCACACTATTTGTGGGAATATAAATTAGTACAATTGTGAAAAACAGGATGGAGGCTCCTCAACAAATTGAAAATAGAATTACCATATGATACAGAAATCCCACTACTAGGCATATTCCAAAGGAAGTGAAATCAGTATTTTGAAAACATATCTGCACTCCCATGTTTATTGCAGCATTATTCACAATAGCTAAGATATTGAATCAGCTTAAGCATCTATCAAAGGATGAATGGATAAAGCAAATGTGGTATGTGTGTTTGTATATCTATCTATATGCACGCACACACACAATAGAATACAATTCACCCATTAAAAAAGAACGAAGTGTTATCATTTGCAGTAACATGGATGAACCTGAAGGACATTATGTTAAGTAAAATAAATCAGGCACAGAAAGACAAAAGACAAAATATCTGAATAGGCATTTCTCAAAAGAAGGCATACAAATGGCCAACAGGTATATGAAAAAAATGTTCATCATCACTGATTATCAGATAAATGCAAATTAAAACCCAATGAGATCTCACCTTATACTTGTTACACATAAGTTATAAGCGTATAATAAGGTACGTTATGTATAACCTGTACATAAGGCACTTTATGCATAACCCGTTATACCTGTTCCATCTCATTCATATGTGGAATCTAAGAAAGTTCATCCCATAGAAATAAAATAAATAAAATGCTGGTTACCAGGGGCTAGGGTTTCTGGTGGGGAATGAGGAGGTATTCATTAAAGGATACAAAATTTCAGTTAACAGAAGTTATAAATTCAAGAGTTCTATTGTATAACATGGTGACTATAATTAATAATATACTAGGTCCTTCAAAAATACTGAGTTGAAGTGAAGTTTTCTCACTACAAAAAAGATAACTATGTGAGGTAATGCATAGAATAGTTAGCCAGATTTAGTCATTTCACAATGTACATATATATCAAAACATCATGTTGTACACAATAAATACATTTTGCCTGTTACTATAAATAAAAATATGTCTTGTAACTGAGTTCCAAAGTAACTGAAAAAAATAACATTCTTAATTTATTTTTTGGATGCTTTGAAGTATCACGTAAATAATAATCATATTTAGAATTT
This sequence comes from Homo sapiens, assembly GCF_000001405.40. NCBI lineage: Eukaryota > Metazoa > Chordata > Mammalia > Primates > Hominidae > Homo > Homo sapiens. The sequence continues at coordinate 146,737,044 of NC_000007.14, read as the reverse complement.
ATTTTTCTTCACACATTATTTGATTAATTCCTTTCACAATAGAAAGTAAACTTACGGCTAAAAGCTCCCTCTACTGGTTCTCTCTAACATACCTGAATAAAAGTTTATATATATATATGTGTGTATATTTTAAAATTATATATCTCTAATAGATATTTCCTAAAGTCATTAATTTATTGAAAAGGCAGAAAACTCAACAATGTTACTTTTTTACTTTTCTGTGACCTTACTCATATGATCCAGTTTCTGAAGAATCTATGTTCTATTGTTCTTAATCCTTTATTTCTTCAGATGAAGCATTTGATTATTTTTCTGTCCATAAACTGTAATGCATCATCCGTAGACCCGCAACCATGCTTAGCACTTCAGTATTTCCTGGGAGGCAGTGCAGCACAGCGGTTGAGAGCTGGAACCCTGGAGTGCAGCTGCCTCACTCTGAATCATCTCTGCCCTTTAGTAGCAGCAACTAACAGTCAAGTTAGTTAATATCTACTTGTGTCAGTTGCCTCATGAAAGATAGGTAAATAACAACAGTTCTTCCCTCAGATGTGGTGGTAGGTTTTCAATGTTCAGGTAAAACACATAGTTCAGGAAAACACTTAGCACAAGGAAATAATCAATCCTCAAATCCTCACAGGCAATGTCTCAGTGCCCCATCAAAAGCAGAGAATAAGGACACCTGACTGAGTCTTTTTTTCCCATTGTCTTTGACTTTTTTTTATAGTTCTGAACTGCCACAATTTTGCTGCCAAGATTCTTATACAATTATCCTTTGGTATCCGCAGAAGATTAGTTCCAGGACCCTGCTCCATATGAAACTCCAGGAATGCTCAAATCCCTTATGTCAAACGGCCCAGTGTTTGCATATAACCTATCCACATCCTCCCTCATACTATAAACCATTTCCAGATTACTAATACAATATACATGCCATATGAATAATTGTTATATTGTATTCTTATGAGTTATTTGTGTGGTTTTTTTATTTTGGCTTGTAATTGACCTATAATAATTGTACACATTTAGGGTGTACAAAGTGATATTTCAGTGCACTTATACAATAGGTAATGATCAAATCAGAGTAAGTAGCATATCTGTCACTTGGAACATTTATCATCTCTTAATGTTGGGAACGTTCGAAATCCTCTCTTCTAGCTATTTGAAAATATAGACTAAATTATTTTTAACTACAGTCACCCTAACGTGCTATAGAACACTAGAAGTTATTCCCGCTCTCTAGCTAAAATTTTACGTCTGTTAACCAATCTCTCCCTATTACCCTCTACTCTTCCAAGCTGCTAGTAACTACAGTTCTATTCTCTACACATATATATGCATATGTATATATATGCACATACATATACATGTATATAAATAGCTATAAACATAGATAAGTAATACAGAGAAGGTAGAGGTGTATAGCCACAATGTATATTTAAATATATACATTTATATATACATGTTTCAAACCAAGTTGTTGGTGTTTTTTTGAGACAGAGTCTTGCTCTGTTGCCCAGGCTGGAGTGCAGTGGCGCTATCTCGGCTCACTGCAAGCTCCGCCTCCCGGGTTCACGCCATTCTCCTGCCTCAGCCTCCCAAGTAGCTGGGACTACAGGCCCCCGCCACAACGCCTGGCTAGTTGTTTTTGTATTTTTTAGTAGAGACAGGGTTTCACCGTGTTAGCCAGGATGGTCTCGATCTCCTGACCTCGTCATCTGCCCGTCTCGGCCTCCCAAAGTGCCGGGATTACAGGCGTGAGCCACCGTGCCTGGCCACAAACTAAGTTTTTAAAAGCTCTAATGTAAAACCATATTGACTGGTTTTCTGGTAAGAATGGCATTTTCAGGAATTTATATTTATCACTGAATGGTAAAATTACAAAGATTTTTCAAAAAAAGATGTATGCTTTCTGTATAATACCGGATTGTTAATACTGCTTACAGTGAAGGTCATTCCAATAACAATTTGTTTTGATCATCATGATATTTTGAAAACATTTCAGCATATTTTCAAAAGACTCTTTCAAAATTTAGATTTCATGGTTAAACATCTGGATTTCTTTCTCGGTTCATTTAGCTGTGTTTAATATATACACGCTGTACTCCTTCAGAAAATAAAAATAGATTTTGTGAACACTCCAGAGGTGAAAGATAACAGCATTACTCAAAATTAAGGATTTTGGAAAACTCAGTTTGGACACAGTTTTAATTTTGGAAAACACATCGAGATTCCTTGAGGAGAGGATATTATGCATATTTTAGCATCATTAAGTAATGGCAGAGTTTCAGAATTATGAAGCATGTTCAAAATTCATTTGTTCAAGTACAAGTAACATCACAAATATTTAAAAATATTTAGAATCTAATATTAGTATATCTTGCATTATGTAGTTTAAAATATTGGTTCAGACCTCTTACCTTTAGACCATACCACATTTTAATCTATTTCCTTGATGTAGGATATGTTGATTTCCTCAGAATCTCTGTTGTCTAAATTTTGTGTGACACCTACAGTCAGTTCTAGAACCTCACATAAGATAATTTTCTGTGTGATAATATCATCATTCCTTCTTATAGATTTTGAACTAGGTTGTTGAACATAAATCTTCAGATATACTTTATGCTTTTTTATTGTTATTATTTGGGATTTCTTTATACTAAATTCTGTGCATTTTCTTCTTCTCAGTCACTCCCATTAGGTGAACTCCTAACATGCTTTTTGAAAACAATTTTAACTCTCTATATATTTATATTAATAAAACAGCTCAACAATATATAGCTCTATACCCAGCCTTGAAAAATAATAATACACATTTCTCCAGTTGGGGTCAAATATAGGAAAAACTAAGCTGCTGCCAGCCTATGAATTTGTCTCACCTACTGTACCTCTGTACCTCACCTTTTATTAGTACTGGGTAATGGAAAAACATCCTGTATTTTGGTGACCAAAATCATAGGTACAAGCTACCAGCATCTTTATTATTATTATTTTAAGCAAGGGAACACCAGTTAATGTGAACTGACTCATTAAATATCTATAAGAAATTAATGTACCAATGTAGCCAGCATCTTGAAAATAAATGCTAAATGAAGAGAGGGTAAGGAGATGGGTTTATGTTTTATAGAGAATATTTGAGCATGCAGCCTGCAAAAACAGAAAAAGAACTATGAAACTCTCATACCATGGACATGGTCAAGTAACAGATGTGGAAATGAAAGCCTCTTCTCTGTGACTTCATTTATCCTATTTCTACCCTCAAACAGTATTTCCTTTCTCTCATCTCTCCTCAAGTCTTGTCTGGCTCCTTTTCTCTCTTCCTTTTCCTCATTTATATTTCTTTCTCAGTCCTGGCTCTTCCTCCATGACTGCACATCCTCATCAGTCAATCTTAAGTGCCAGCAAGCAGCAACTTTTTAAATGTCAGTTTATTCGCTATAGGAAAGGGTAGTCAAACTAAGTAAATGTCACTTAATCTTATTATAATATGAGACTGTACTAGTTCAAACAAATTAGCAAAATAGTCTGAGTTATTTCAAAATCTAAAGTTAGATTTTTTAAAACATGGTTTAAAATTTAAATTTTAAAATGAATTTAAATGTATATATTTTATTTCTTGTTTTTTGTTTTTTGCAGTTAATTATAAAACACTATAAATAATAAGCAAACGAATAAAATGACAACTGAAAAGAATAATGCTTCATCCCCAAATATTCTGTTTTTATGATTTATTTCCTATGTAAATATTTATTTTGATGGGAAATAGGTAAATTTGACATTGGTCAAGTTTGTAGCTGTCACAGTTTCAAATTACTAAGGGTCTGGATTCCTGAATGTTTGACTAAACTGAATAAGTACCTATTTCCCGTGGGCTCTTGAAAGAGTAGCTCTTAGCAAAATCAGTCTATTTAGCTCATCAGAGACTTTTTAGCCAGCATAGGATTTCCATTCTCAATCCCAATTAATATCTTTTCTATTAGTGGTCTATGATTATATATTAGTGCAGTCTATTTTTTATGATTAGAATATCAACTTTTGAAAATGTAGTTTCTTTTATACATACACAGTCACACTTTCACCCTGTATCCTTGGGAATTCAACCAACTGCAGATTGAAAATACATATTTGAAAATACAAAACCATTAAAATCACAATAATAAAAAATAATGCAAATAGCAATACAATATAGCAACTATCAATACAGCATCTACATTGTATTAGGTATTACAAGTAATCTAGAGATGATTTAAAGTATACAGGAAGATGTGTGCAGGTTATAGAAAATACTATGCCATTTAAAATAAAGAACTGAAGCATCCGATTTTGGATTTTGAATCTTGTTATCTATGGGGTCATGGAACCAATTCCCCCACGGATAATGAGGGACAACTGTATTTCTTTTTGGTATGATGGCCAAATCAGTGTTAAAGAATGGTTCAAAATCTATCATCTGGAACAGAAGAACAACATGAGTAAACCTTTGAATTATAAATGCATTGAAGTTATCTCTCTTCTTTAAAAATGCAGTAGAATATCATATACAACACACAAAAAAATGAAGAAGGCAATTCCAACAAGAGAGGAAAATAGAGCTGAGAAAAGCATCTGACATACAATATTTTCCTCACTGACTTACTGGTTAGCAGCAAGGAGTACACGATAAATTTCAAGTTTAACTGGAACAGCAAGGTGAATTTATGGTAAGTTGAAACAAAGTCATAACATGTGAAGAGAAAACAAGTTTTAGGAAATGAGAAATGCAAGTTTCTGTATAATAAGCTTTTATGTCATCGGCTTTATAAATAAAAATGATATTTGCTTTGCAGGGTCAAAATAATAAAATGTATATTACAGGAGATCTGAAACAAATTTTAAGTAGCTTCTACAAACTGTTTTGAAACTTCTATGATGTTCAAATTCTGATGTTAAATGTGTATAAGAAAAAAATAGAAATCTATTGGTGAATCTTGGCCACTGTACTGTATCTGAATCTACAGATTAATTCCTCAGCATATGATAGGTACTCGCTGGGAATAATTGTGTAATTTGGGCAGTTAGCATTAGATATCACTCTATTCTCTATCATTTTGGATGCTTTTATATATATATATAGACAAAAAATGTAATTTTTACTAAATATCAAATAACTATTGACAAAAACTAAGGAATATATACATGAGTATATTTTTTCAAAAAATTATTTAATACTTTCTGGGTTCTAGACACTGTGCCTTATGCAGAATTTCAGTGGTGTGCAGAACAAAACCTATGCCCTAAAGGAATTTTGGAATGTGTTAAAGAAATTAAATCCCAGGCACAAATAATTTTATACGTTAAAAACACACTTCTATCCGTGCTGTTTTAAGTTTCTTGAAAGACCTTAGTTTAAGATTTTAATGTATTCCTCAACTGAAGATACTAATTTCCAGGCTGCCAATCTGATATTGTGAGTTGTATCAACAGCCTACAGATCATTTTTTAGATTTATGAAAGGTTTCTTGATTTCATCTCACTCTGCTGCTCAGGTCTTTGAACCCAGATCTTGGACTCTGTTCCCTAAATGTTCATTAAACATTGAAATGAGCAACTTGATGGAAATAAAAAACAGTTAAGCAAATATTAAAATAAAAATATATAAAAATATTAAGCAAATATTAAAATAAAAATAAAATAATAAATAATAAATAAAATATTGCACGTGATTCCATGGTTCCACGTGATGTGTTTCATAGCCTAGCAACTCTGGTGCCTCAGTCCTGCTGTTGTTCCTAACTTGTCATCCAGCCGCACTGTGAGACACTAGCAAGACTCTCCCCTCATCCCCCATCATGGTTTTGTAGCTTAGATATCATGAGGCACTCGTACAATCTGGACACAGCCAGGCCTAGGGGACTTTGATTTCAGTCTCAGTTGCCATTCACTAGTGATTTGACTTTTGGT